>NC_000004.12:181345623-181648653 GCF_000001405.40 Homo sapiens
TGGTCACAAAATTTCTAAATGTATTATGATTTTGTCCCACGACCCCATCCAGAAACAAAGATCAATACTTGAACTACCTGTGTAAATGCCAATATGTAGTTTAAATTGAGAAATAAAAGGGTCTTATAATGTGCTTGTTTTGACCTTCTCCTCTCAGGGAATCCAGTAGATTCTGAACAATCAGTAGCATGATATATTGGTTCAACTACATGTAACATGAAGGACTAACTGAAGCTCCATGAGCTGCAATTTGTTATTCTCTGATTTACAGCACCGGCATTTTTATACTTCTATTCATTGAATTTTTGAAGAAAGACTGGCTATTTCAGTCAAGGAAACTTTCCAGAGCCTGCAATGGCATTTAATCTTGGCTCTGCATATTTTGCCTGGACTCTAACCAAATATATGCATTTGAAACAGATTTATTGATTTGGCTCTTCATAATATCTTGTCATGGGAAGAGTGTGAAGCTGGATCCCACTTCTGTTTGTGTACATCTTAAGAAAGTCCTCCCCAATGAAATGCATTGACCCTCTGTGGGAAAAAATTCCTATATATCAAGCACAAATTTGAAGACTGGCATTGTACCAGTTTGGGTCTTCCAGGAAACAGATGACAAAATGGAATGCTATGTGCATAAGATTTATTGAGAACACATCTGTGAATGATAAGTAAGGGAGAAAGCAGGAGTGAGCAAAAAGAGCATTCAGCCCCCAGTGTGAAACTGACACCTTTGAAAGAAAGAAAAGTGTGGAGAACGGAGGATTGGGGAGGTGGGGGCTCAGCGGCAGTGTAGCTCTGAGACAGTCTCAGCCAACCTAACAGAGAGCCCTAAGGCAAAGGGTGCCCCTTGGAAGCAGCCACCACGGGGCAGAAAGGGGCAGGTTCTTGTACCTGCTATGTTCAGACACTGGCTAGCAGTCGTTCAGGGAAAACCTGGGATGAGTGTGAACGTTCTAGTGAATCCCAGGGTTTCAGCAACTGGAGGTTTATTGGCTACACAATTTTCTTTGCAGCAGGATCTCTCTTGAATATTCGGAAATCTGAGCAGTGCACCTCTCCGGCTGACATGAGCCTATGATGTTTTTAGCTCTTACAGAGAGTGTCTTCCACAAAACTTTTAAAATAGACACTTTGTCCAGCATGAAATATGGTTAAAAGCCTAGCTACCCCAAATTAATGATGAGTGTCTGCCACGCAACTCCAGACGTAAAACCGAGAAATACAGTCAGCCCAAAGCTAAATGGTAAGTTATTTTAGAAGAGAAACCATCTTTGCTTCTCCCAATGCTTAGCAAAGCCCTTAGTATATATTACAGTTGCTCCATATATTTTTGTTAAAATGAAAAACAGATAATAGTCATTCTTACTTCATTTTTGGAAGGGTTCACACTATCTAAAACAAAAAAAAAAAAAAAAAAAAAAAAAAAAAAAAACTAAGGGCCGGGCACTGTGGCTCATGCCTGTAATCCCAGCATTTTGAGAGGCCGAGGCGGGCGGATCACGAGGTCAGGAGATCGAGACCATCCTGGCTAACACAGTGAAACCCCGTCTCTACTAAAAATACAAAAAATTAGCCGGGTGTGGTGGCGGGAGCCTGTAGTCCCAGCTACTCAGGTGGGTGAGGCAGGAGAATGGTGTGAACCCGGGCAGCGGAGCTTGCAGTGAGTGAGATCATGCCACTGCACCCCAGCCTGGGTGACAGAGCGAGACTCCATCTCAAAAAAAAAAAAAAAAAAAGAAAAAGAAAAAAAGAAAAAACAAATACAACTAAATCCTTATAGCTATGGTAAGGGGAAAAGATTCTATCCTTATTAAAGCAATTACCCATGCAGCCCTCAAAATGCATATATACCTTGACAAATATAAGTTTATCTGAAGTAGTTCCAAGTGTCGCCAATATGCCTAATGCACATAATTTGAGAACTTTAATACAAAATAGGCTATAAATTATATTTAATTATCTTTATTATTGCTAATTCCTCATCCTTGATTCATGGCAAAGACAATTGTGATGAATATCTGTTCTCATCAAACTTGTTCTAGAAACAGACATTAAAAGCAAAGTAGGGCCTAGAGGAGGGGTAAATAAAATCAGGTGAGATAATTCACTTATGATCCACTGGGTACCATAGCTATAGCTCAGATATATAAGTCAATTTCAGTTCGACTTGCTTCTTCCTGAATCCTTTCTCAAAGAAAGGATTTTCACATAATTTCACCTAGAGGGCTGCACTTGCATTTACTGTGATATCAGAAAGTGAGATCCTTCTTTGTTCTGATTGAAGAACACATGTACCTAGAGAAGAGATTCTGGGGAAGTCTTCTGAAACGGGTTACAATGTCTGAGGTATAATCAAGAACTTCAGATTCGATTAGAGTCTTCCTTTACATAGACATCTAGGTATTGTATTTCTTTTTTTTTTTTTTTTTTTTTTTTTTTTTTTTTTTGAGACGGAGTCCCGCTCTGTCGCCCAGGCTGGAGTGCAGTGGTGTGATCTCGGCTCACTGCAAACTCCGCCTCCTGGGTTCACGCCATTCTCCTGCCTCAGCCTCCCGAGTAGCTGGGACTACAGGCGCCCGCCACCACGCCCGGCTAATTTTTTGTATTTTTAGTAGAGACGGGGTTTCACCGTGTTAGCCAGGATGGTCTCGATCTCCTGACCTCAAGTGATCTGCCCGCCTCGGCCTCCCACAGTGCTGGGATTACAGGCGTGAGCCACCGCGCCCGGCCATATAGTTCTTGTTTGATTTTTTTTCAGGCAGCAAATGTTTGTTGTGGTTAACATGTTTGGATTCTTTTTAAATGAAAGGAAAACAAAACACTATAAATGTCATAGAAACAAAGTTTAAATAAAAGAAAGACAGGAAGAAACTGAAGGCTACGTAAATAAATTTTTTAATTTATTTATGTTCTATTCATGAAATATTCCAGTCGTTTCTGATAATTGACCTTGAATGCTGTGAAAATATTTATATTTCTTAACATTAAGAAACCTCCTTACCTATCTTTATTTTTTTGTTGTGTTGTTTTGTTTTGTTTTGTTTTGTTTTGTTTTGTTGAGACAGAGTTTCTCTCTGTCGCCCAGGCTGGAGTGCAGTGGCAGGATCTTGGCTCACTGCAACCTCCACCTCCTGGGTTCAAGCAATTCTCATAACACAGGCTCGTGAGTAGCTGGGACTACCGGTGTGTGCCACCGTGCCTGGCTAATTTTTGTATTTTTAGTAGAGATGGGTTTCGCCATGTTGGCCTTGCTGGTCTCAGACTCCTGGCCTCAGGTGATCCACCTGCCTCAGCCTCCTAAAGTGCTGGGATTACAGGCGTGAGCCACCGCACCCAGCTTATCTTTAATGTTTACTGTTGTCCAGTTCACCAGTTGAATGTATAGAAAACTCAATCAAAATAACGAATAATTTCTCTTTGGAGAAAATTGATTTAATTTTTTACATACATTGGTGGAACAATTGAAATACTACTCAGGGCGCTTAAGTCAACAATTTCTCTTTGACTTAATGGACTATTTTCTTTCTTTTCCTTTCTTTTCTTTTCTTTTTTTGAGACAGCGTCTTGCTCTGTTGCTCCTTACTGGCTGGAGTGCAGTAAGGAGATCTTGGCTGACTGCAACCTCCACCTCCCGGGTTCAAGCAGTTCTCCTGCCTCAGCCTCCCAAGTAGCTGGGATTACAGGCGCCAGCCACCATGTCTGACTAATTGATTTGTAGTTTTAGTAGAGACCGGGTTTCACCATGTACACCAGCCTGGTTTCCAACTCCTGACCTCAAGTGATCCGCCCACTTTGGCCTCCCAAAGTGCTGGGATTACAGGCATGAGCCACCACTCCCCACCAACTATTTTCATAATAGAATAAGATGACAACTAAAAAATGCTGTTCCCTTTTTACAGACCCATCTTTAGGTCCCTGAATCTATGCCCCTGAGTGCTTGAATCTACCTCCTTCCCTTTTTAAATAAGTTTCTTTTAAAACAAATATTAAAACCTTCCCATTTAATCCCATTGTCCTCTGTCATTTTTCCCCTTTACTAAACACTATCCCAAATAAATGTAATTTCCTCATTGTCTATATTTTTAAGGAGTTTTTCCTTAACCCCCTGCAATCACATGTTTTCTTCTTTATGTATTAGCTGCTAATCAACAAATTCCACCTCATTTTTCTCAGTCTCATTCTTATAAGCTTTCTTCAGTATCTAATGCCATTCATGCCATTCATGCCCCTTCTTTCTTCAAAAACTTCCTGTGGTTTCAGGGACCCTGTAACAATTATATGACACTTGCTTTTATAACATCGTCCTGTTGGCTTCCTTTTATAACATGTCTCACTGGTCCCAATTCTCTGTAATTGAACATTTTCTACTCTAAACATCATTTGGCATTCAAAGTCATTAAAACGATATTGTGCCACAAAAATGTCCTCATTCACCTGAATGTGCTATTTTTTGTTCTAGGCACCAATATACTGCAAAATTTACACACTTAAAACAGACTGATGCCTTATCTTGATCAACATTCTCCATTTGGAAAGCAGGATCAGTCCTATAAGCAAAGCATGCTTTAGTAAGAATTATACACACACACACATACACACACAGATATCCAACCTCTTCCTCAGTGGGTAATGACAACATATTCAACATTTACTCCCCTTTTCATACCTACCATCAGAGATATTTCAGACACTAGGGAGCAATTAATAACACTAATATAAGTAATCGCTTATAAAGATATAGACCAAAGAATGAATGATCTTTAGAAACTCTTCCCCAAAGACTCAGTGTAACACTATCAGCCTTTTTTGAAAATGGTTCATTTTCATCTTGGGCACTTGAAATTGGTAATTCATCCCTATTCTGTTTATCTAAACACATTTAAAATGCTTCTCTAATTTTTGCTAATTAACAAAGGACTTTGAAACTCTTTGTTACAGTATCTGTTTGTAGCCCCATCAATTTAATGCTGCGGGGATTATCACATTGTTACAATGGGGTTGGTGTTGTGAACACACAAGGATAAGGGGGGAAAAGGAAAAGTACAGTGTGGCGCCTAAAAAATGCAAACACAATTTAAACTTCTTTAATTTGTGTGGGGGGGATAGATAAATAATGATTTGCAGCGACCAGGGATCTCAGATGGCTTTGTTCATATTTTACTAGTATACTCCTCTTTGCAGCCTGAGTAATTAAGTCTTATGACATTCCAGAAACCATAAATCCTGCTGAGATGTTTAAGTCTGGAACAACCTCTTGATGTACAATCAAAATAATAAAAATAAAAAAGGACACTTCTCTGGTTCTTAACAAGCTGTTTTGCTGTTACTTCTGAAACACAATTGCATGTGGCCCACTCAAACTGTTTCGTCTCATTGTTAACTAGAAATTCCTTTTGAAATTCATTGCCTTCAATTACATTTTCTAAAAGAATTTTAATTGCATGGCTCTAAAGAATAAAGATGCTCTAGGCTCCATTTGTTTATCATGGAGGGGCCTAAAAAATGAGGACAGAGCTTCCCAGCTCATGCAGGGGTTGCAGAGAGAGGGAGATGACTTTTAATTCGACAAGTTCAGAGAGATTTCTTAGTTTGACGCGCTCAGCAGGGGGTCTTTGAGCGCCTGGCAATGCTTCAGCATTCTGAGCTTTGAAAGTCTTTCCCTGCAGCAGAAATTGTATCAAAAGCCAATGATAATATTCCCTGCAAGGTAAAGCACCCTATTGAAGATTTCGAGAGCTGTTTATTTATTCATCACAGTTTTCCTTTTAGGACGTATCAGGCATCTAGGTAATAATTCACATAGATGATAGAAAATGCAATAAATCCTCCTCATTAATCTTTCACCTTTTCCTTCTTCTACTTCTCTGTAGGCCACGTGTAGATATAAAATGGTCTTTCTGCTTGTCCCAAACATGTATATCTTTATACTGAATCTCAGTTTCTTCCCCTCTTTTTCCATTTTTAAACAAAATTGTCATTTCAGTCTACCTTCTACCACCAGCTGAGCATATAAGATGTTTAAGGCCATTTCCTCCTGCTAAATCCTCCAAGTGATTAATTAATTTTACAGGAGTATGTTCAGTGTCTAAGGTGTTTTTTGTATCTTGGTATTTTAAGTATGTTTCAGAAAGCTGTTTTCAAAGCAAATGTTAACAATCGTGTTGATCTCTTGAAGGATATACATATTTTAATATTTTGTATTATATTTTGTACACATGGTAGGACAAATACATTTCACTCTCTTTCACTGTTTCTAGGGCAGATCTGGGAGTAAGGGGCCATGACGACCTTTCCCTCTTGTGTCGTCAATGTCTGCTATCAGTTTGGCAGAATCAGTGAAGACAAAAACCGTTTTCCCTTGTTTTGTTTTGTTTTTTTTTTTTTTCTTTCATCTTCTATGGCATTAAAAGTGACCTTGCCTTGCAAATATCGGTGTGGTACCACAAGGGAAGCAGTTGCCATAGAGGAGAAAGTTTTCTTTCTTGATTATTATTATTTTTTTTAACTATAGGGGCTCAAGGAGAGAGCATTGCTTACAATTGCAGTTTTTTTTTAATGGAATCAATGAAGGAAAAGTATGCATGCAAAAGAAACTTGGAAAAAATTCAGTGCCTCATCATATTCGGGCATATATAAGTGCATTTCACTTTACAAACATAAACCAGGTGGTAGATTGTATTTAAATATCAAAAGTATGAGAGGAAATCACCATGCCAAGTAACCATTTCACTAACAAAATATCCATAGAATAGCATCAGCAAATATTCCATTCACCCATTAATATTAATTGAACTTCCACCAAGTACAAAGCAAGGCACAAGGCATCATACAAACACAGGCATGTCATTAGGATTTCAGACTCTCTAGTTGGTTCATGAGCATTGTTACACACGGAGAAGAGGAGGACCAAGGGTAACCCAAAACGACATAGTCCCAAACTGCACATAGTACAAAGCAATTATTCACTGTCAGGCTTGGGAGGATGATATTTTTGTAGCGACGTTGGTGTGCTTTAAACAAAGATACAGTCATTTAGATATGAATTGGGCACCCGGCATTGGAATTCCAGGGAACTTGCTTCCTCTCTCCACTGCTACAATATCCAGTGTTTCCAACACAGTCCATAGCACCGTGTTCTTCTAGTCCAGGTCTTGTTCTTAGACTCATATTAAGTTTGTCTCTCTCGAACTATTCTTGGGGTGGTGGAGTTGGTTGTTTGAGTGCCTCTTTTTGCCAAATGAATGTAATTATCTACTCTTTCAAACTGACTTGTTGTCACTTGATTATGTTCTATTTAAATGAATTTAAAATTAACATATGATTTGTGATTAACCCTATCTTATTTCACATTTTATATTTATCTCTCAATGAAATAACTGCGGAGATCTAGAACCAATTTTGAACTTTTAAGCAATCTCTATTTAAAATTCAATTAACAATACAGGTGAATAAGAAAATATTCAGGTGTATAATGGCAGTATGAGTCATCCCAAACCTGGGTAAGTTATAAGCACATTTGCACCTCTGATGTTTAAGGAAACCTTGCCGTCTTGATGCTTGCTTCATCAGAATTTCCAGGATCTCTGTGGGTCTACCCTTCACAATAGTTGTCTTGTGCAGTGATACACAGGACAATTAATTTTTGCTCTGTCAAATTATCCCTGCACCCCTCTCCTGCAAAGAAAATAGTGCCAGTAGATATTTGTACAGTGTACTCAGATTCCACTTTATATGATTGTTCATTTACATTTGAATGTTTTAAGCTGCATAATGGCAAACATCACTCAAGACCAACTAAGGACTGAATTAAAGCATTTAAATGAAATAATATCCATAATTTTCCAAATAATATGAAAATCTCAAATCAAAGTTATGAGCTCAGTAGATAGTTATATAAAAGTTATCTTTTGTTTTTTTCATATGCATGTAAAAGAAAGTGGCTTCTCTTTGATAGATGTGGAAGAAAACTCCTAAGCGATTATACTGCAAACGTACCATCCTTTTCTTGTCATAGTAGTGTCTAATGGTAACTTAAGCACGAAGTCACCTCACAGTTTGTTGGTAAGGAGGAAGTTGTACTGAAAATTTGATTGATCTGATTCGATATCCTTATATTTGAAGCTTCTTATAATTTAACATCCTTAATGTGTGATCTAAACATTGCTAAGGGATTATTTTGAATCACGTGAGATGTTTAAGAACATGCAAATAGTCTATAAGCCAATATAGTAAAATAAAATAATATATAAATTTGAACAACTTCCACATTGTAAATAAAGTAAATCTGCTTAATATCCATAACTGTTAATGTCAGAAGAAAAAATCACCTTGCAATTAACTAGGTTGTTTGAAAGTCAACGTTTTGGGGAGAAACATTTTGTTTTGTGTAAGAAAATTGAAAACTCAATATGTAATGGAATAAAACACAGCTATTGTACATCTTGGACTTATCTAATCTTTATCTGTTTCAGCATTATTGACTACAAGGACAATTAACAATGAATGATGGGGCCAGAATGCCAGTGAAGACATTTTCCTAGGTTGGCTGTTCCTCTGTTTGCTAAAGAGGATTCTGTCTTTATTTCTTCAGTTTGTGTTACTCCCTCATTCTATGGAGGTACTTGCCACATAATTCCAGGGAGCTTTCAGATTGCAGATCTAGAGGAAATGAGGGAAGGGTTGGATGGATGATGCAGCAATCAAGCTGCAGCTGGGAGTTGGGTTTCTTAAGGTATTGAGGAGAAGATTGCAAAGGCAGATGAAATGAGAGAGAAACAGGGTATTTCAGAAGTATTGCTATGACTTTATCCTTATTACTTTCTTGAGAAAGACAAATGAAAAGCTCTGGAACCACACTGGGACTATTGTGTTTCTTTGCAAGGGAACCATGTGGGGGACCACTGTATAAAGGTCATATTTTATATTTGCGTTCTGAGTCGTCATGCAAATATATTGCTCAAGCAATAATTTCAGACAAAATGATTCTGAGTTACCAGAATTATACTCCTTAGCACATAGATGGTAGTGTAATAAAACCCCAGCCTGGCTTTTCAAAATCTTGGTGGAAGCCAAAAACACCATTTACTCCTCTTTACCTTTGGTGACCTTTGCATCTCTCCAGACACTGAGAACTCTGCTGGAGCTGCTCACCAAAATAACTGAGTGGCTTGTGGCAGATAAACATGTAAGATGGAAGGTAAAGATACACATTGTTTTTTCACCGACAAAGGGAGAAGTGGGTTACAACAGATGTTTCTGGCAAAGCTGTAACAGAAACCAACAAAAGTCTACCCCAAACAAGCAGGAGGTAATCTGGTAGGAGAGGGAATCAGGAGAATCTTAGAGTTACTGAGAAAGGAGGATGAGTTCTGTCTTAAATAGAATCCCAGATTTGTTCATCTGAACATGTAACATGTAATTAATGTCCGGCATTTAGAAAAAATGAGGTTCCCAGTTAAATTGCTTTGGGATCCTTTAGAAGAGAGGCTGAAAGTCAAACACACGGACAGTTTGAGAATTTAACCTTACCTTATCTAGGCTTCACCACCCGCTTCACTCATGTCTTCTGACAAAAGGCATCACCTTCTGTGTCTAATGAAGAGTCCCAAAGGAGAATCAGGAAATATTTCTGGAATAAATAAAAGTAGAAAATATGTCATTGACTGTAGTAATTTTTCTCCAAATGTGATCCATCCTCCAGCCACCCATTTTCATCATTTCTCAATTATTTTCCTGTTTTGTTGTCCTGAATCTTTTCTTACTGTTCTTTTGTCTCTCTTCACAAGCTTTATTTCTTTACTTTCTCGGTTTTTTGTTTTTTTTTTTTTAATTTCTTTTTCTTCAGCCTCTCTACACCATTCCCAGCCCCTTGGATTTCTTATTTTTTTTTCCTTTTTTTAATTTTTATTTTTATTTTAAGTTCTGGGGTACATGAGCAGGATATGCAGATTTGTTATATAGGTAAATGGTGCACCATGGTGGTTTGCTTCACCTATCAACCCATCACATACGTATTAAGCCCAGCATGCATTAGCTATTTCTTCTAATGCCTTCCCTCCCCTGATCCTATCCACCTGCAGGCCCCAGTGTGTGTTTTTCCCCTCCCTGTCTACACCATTTTTTAACCAAAAAAAAAAAGGAATTATAAATGGAAGGTCCTGAGAGAAAAAGAAAGGTAGACAATGTCAGGTCAAGAGTGTGGCTTCACATAACAGGGTGGGACTTCTTTAAGTTGATTGACTGAACCATGAATCTGACCAATATGGAAATCCTCCGGTTTTTAAAATTCAGCATCTCATGTGGGGATCTTGATTTATAATGGAAAGCTCAGAAAATTGAAGCTTCATCTTTCTGGCCAAAAATATACTAGAAAAAAAGATGAGAAATGAATACACAAACACACACACACACACACACATTAAAGGAACCATGACATTTATCTGTAACCTACACACCAGAAATAAACTTGCAAACAAATTTTTAAATATACTACAAGTCCGTTAAGTTGGGTAATGTATTTAAAGTCCTAAAGTGATTATGAAAATAGTTTCCAACTTGTTTGGAGCTGCATTTTTTTTATGAGCATATTATTAGAAATAGGTTTGAAGTCTACCAAAGCAGATTTCAAGTCTACAGAAATTTGGTGTAAACTATAAGAGTTTACACCAAATATGGTGGAACCAGAGGTACTAAACCCTCTTTATAACATTATTTCTCACTGAATTAAAAAACCAGCATTTGGGTTGCAACCTTGTCGTTTCCCAGGTGCTTGACTTCAATCCCATCCATTGTAAAACTGAGATAGTGATTCAAACTTCAGTTTTCTTCTGAGGAAAAGCCCCTAATTGAATACCTAAGTATTGTATCCTATTATAGCTATTATTATTCTACCACAACTAATGCAGCTCAAGGCAGAATTTCTAATAGGTCTTTAAATCTTTAGTTGAAGCTCCAAAGAAAAACGGATCACCACTTGGAGTTAGAAGAACAACTACTCATTCCTGAAAAAGTGGAAGCGCAATTAATTAGCATTCAGCATTTGATTCCTCTGGAGAGGAGGAATCCCATGTTCTCAGAGTGGGACATAAAATCACATACGTGTTAGCTGGCAAGACTATTCATCAGGATAATGGTATAAGACTAAAGTGAAGCGATATAATGTTAGATGTTTGTACCTGGGGAAAATCATAGCTGCAGCCTGGCACTGTAGACGGATGGCTGTAACCAGGCCTCAACAATTTGCCAAGTCTCTGGCCTGATGGTATTGCTTTGGTATACATTTTTAAACATATACATCTTATCCACATTTCCAGAGGTAAGGAGTTGATGTTAAGGGATAGGGAACAATTATCAGACTGGACTTTGTCACATGTAGTTTTTGAAGAACTACAAGTTAGAATCTATTGTCCGACCCCTGAGGAGGACTTTTTTCTGTTTACAAACACAAAAATTCTAATGTTCCATTGTCCCTTTCCTAATCCCCAAATATTTTGTTAGTACAGATATTTTCTATTATAATTTTAACAACTATTACTATGCAGTCAGTTGTATAATAATTTACATTTACCTGTATTTCATCTGTCTTTTTTCATTTCAAATTTATTTCATATTTTATTTCAACTTCATATTTGATTTTAATTTTATTTCCATTTGTGGGTTCTATATTGATATTAGCTCAGGCAAACATCTGAACAGAATTACTTTACTATATGCTGAATTCTACTGCACTGACTTCTATAATTGCTGCATAGACTTTCTAGTCAGTTTCCTCCCAATACATATGAAAATGGTTGTTTTGTTTCTATTTTCATCGTTAAAATAAAAGCCATTCGCTTGTACTTTCGGAACTCTCTCTTTATCTAACATTTCATTGTCTGATGTCCTGAGAAGAGCAGCTTGCATTTTGAATGCTTTTGATTACCTACAATTTCTCGTAGCATTCAAGGTAGAGATTCTACCGCATCTCATTTTTGATAAATAATTACAAAAATGTTTTTTCAAGAAAAAGGTAGCTTTTAGAATGCCTGAAAGTGTGAAAAAAATGTCATTATAAAGCTTCATAACTATGTGGTCATCTTGGAAGCAAAATAGAGAAGAAAAATCAACTCAACTTCAACCTTTCAAATCACAAGAAGTAGTTCCTCTGTCATCCAGACAATACGGTGATGGCTCCTTGTGTCTGATTACCAAAGGAAATCTAAAATGAGTTTTATGTAAATTTTTCTACAATGAAACATTTTGTACATCATTATACTAAAAGGAACTTTTACAAAGCACTTGCAAAATAAAATCAGCTGATAATACAGCAACATCCAAAGAAAATGTGAGACAATTAAACTTTCTCATGAATTACATGAATTCTATTTAGACATTCCTGTATCACTGCAGATGTGGAGGTAGAGATTTTCCTTGATTTCCCTTCCTCAGTTGCCATTTTCCCACTTAAAAGAGATCTTTAAGGCTATTTTTGGTCTGTTTCCTACCGCTACTGAGACATTTAAGTTATAGAGCTTGATTTTTATTTTAGTATCATGAGAAATGGTTTCAACTCAGGGAAGCCCAAACTTCAAATACCTCTGGAAGTAAGATTAATGTAGTTTGAATTTTGCAGGAAAATAACTTCAAAGGTGACATTTTTGTTGGAGGTACTGAAATATCTACAGTAATACTTTTAACAAGGGTTAGTCTAGAGCACTGCTTGGAGCAAAGAAATCTAACATATACTATAACTGTCTACAGGCAAGCCAGAGATGGATTTATGGGCCATACTTAGCACTGTCACCTTGAAAGTGAAGCACTTTGAAAGGCTAAATGAAGATGAACAGTCAATCTCTGTTGGGGAAAGTCTTGCCATTTATTTTTTATTTGTTTTAAGAGTGATACCATATTGTGTCATGGGTTGAACAGTGTCCAATAAGAATATCAGCTGTGCTTTGCAAACAGCCTTTAGTCACTTCCATCCTCCACTGGGGAAATGCTCCAGGAGGGAGGAGAGGCAAGGGATACATGGCAATTTTGGCTTTCTTGGGACTCTTCAGAGATGCTTTTCCCTCCCACCTACTGGTTAATCTTTTCTTCTTTTTCTGTTTCCTGTCACTTTCCAACTTACTTATTCCAGTGGAATAAGTAGGTTGTGGTTTGATTAACAGAGGTGAGAAATACAGTATTGTTACTCTTTAAAGGCACATATTATGTTGCGTCCTCATAAAAATAAGACAATCAAAACATATGATGAAGTCTAGGAGACTTTGACATGTTCTTAAAATCAAAATAACATAATCACTGCTTCTTTATAATGTGTTGTGTGTATATCTTGCATAATTGTCATTCTTTTGAAGGATAGGGTAGAAAATCCCTGTTGAAGAAAATTTTGTATAACAGTTTTTCAAAGCATGATTTGCTACAATGCCAATGACAATAATGTTTATTGGTAAGGCATGATATAAATCTATAATAAATGAGTGATTTCAGAGTTATCATACAGTGGTTGGCTCTACAGCTAATAACAAATACTGTAAATAAAATACCTGATCCATTCCCCTAAGAATTTATAATCCAGATAGAGGTATTAATATTTATTATAAGTTATATATTTCAAATATCTAATGACAACGTGATATAGCAACAGGGCCAGCTTCATGGGTGTGCCTGCCACTGGGGCGATCTCACAGCATCCTGCATGTAGAAGAACCCTATGCTTGGTTTAATGTTGTGTTCTCACCATCTGCAAATCCTTGGAAATTTTGAACGAAGATCCTCCCATTTTTATTTTGTTCTTGATTTTGCAAATGTATAGCCGGTCTTGGTAGCAAAGTGTAATGAATAACTGATGAGATATTGACTGAATAATCAGCAGAAGACCTGCTATTGCATTCTGGGACGAGGAAGACGGTGATTTCACAGTGAAATCGGGGCTTCATGTGAGCTTTGAATAATGTGGAGAGTTTGGATAGGTGGATAGAAGGGAGGAGGGCATTTCAAGTGGCAAGAATTGCACAAACGAGTTCCAGAGACAAGAATGAGAAAGGAATGTTGAGAACCATATCTCCTTGGTTAAAGGTTTTTGTATAGCCACTGGGAGACATGAGGCTCAACCAGGTTGTAGAGAACTTTAACTACAAGAACAATAAATATGATTTTATATCATAGAGTTTTGGAGGAATGTGAATATTGTTTTGGATAGATTAACTCCGTAGCAGAATTAAAGTTTGAGCTTTAATTTTAATAATGGTCGAGGATGGGCAGATGCAAAAGATGTGTGTGAGAAAGATAAATCAGATGTGACACAATCTTGATTACTGGGAGAATGATGAAACCCTTGACATAGATGAGAAAGTCATAGTGGGAAAATAGAGAACAGCTTTAGAGACTGATAGCATAGTATTTAATTTAAGGATGAAATGGATTAGTTAGCCCACACCTCAGAGTGATGATGTGGCTTCTAGAAGCATCTAACCTGAAATCATTTATTTACTCTGACACTCTGCAAACATTGAACATCTATTGGACAAGTACTCTAAATACAAAACACACTTCTGCTTTGCAAAACTGAAACACAAAATTTTAAAGATGCTAGCTCCCTGATATCTATACAAAACATCACAATATTTGAATATCTTTTCAAATGCTTTTGCAGAAAAATTATTTGAGTATGTATATACATCAGGCATGCACACTGACCAAAAAAAAACATTCTAAATTCCTATTTTTATGTGAAAGGAAGGTGGTTGCATTCTGTGCCCTACACAGTTAGGAAGAGTTTTTATTTCAGCCACCCCTTTTTCACCATTTTCCTGTGCATACCAATGCTAAAATGAAATGTTTATTGTACAACAAAAGTAAACTACAAGTGCAATGCAAATGTGAGGCAAAGCTCAACTTTTTTTTTTTTTCCTGAAAAGAAAGGATTTCAGGCTAGGTAAATTTATGCATCAGTGGCTTTCTTCAGTTTCCTCCTGATAACGTCTGATTGACACTACTACAGCATTACTTTTAAAGAAACCAAAATGAATCCCGCAGCCTCATGCGGTTGGACCTTAAACTGTCAGTGGTTTATGACCACTGAGGCCTGACTGATGGCACTAGCCACTGCGTGAAATGTTTTCTAGCACTTAGGAGCTCTACAGTGTGGTACAGTAACTTGCATAATTAGGTATTTTGAAGTAAAATCAGCAGTGAAGGTAGCTCCCAATGTCTCTTCTTGCTTACTCTTGTGTTATTTTTATCTACTCAAAGAGAATTATCCTAATGACAATTGGTCACCCCTGACTTTTTTTCCTGCATTGCTTGAGGCCAAATATTGTGAATCTATATTGATTAACCAAGCAAGTCTCGGTTATTTAAGTCGTGATTTATCTGAGACCCTTGATACATTTTATTCTTCTGCTAACATGTGGCCACTTGACTGCCTTCCAAAGGATAGACAGAAAAGAAGACAGAAGAAATGCTCAAATCAGCCAATTCCATCACAATTAAAATAAAAATTCTACTACTTCTATCTAAAGGCATGTATTGGTGAAGAAGATTGAAACCACTAGCTACGGTGAGGCACTAAGTCTATGCAGATTCAAATCATTCCTGTTCTCTCTCCTCTCATAATCCCGGAGACCCGAAGAATGACTTATATGACTTATGTTAATACATATACAGTTTCCTTTCAATTGTATTATATTACAAATTAACAGGATGCTATGTAAATTTAAGTATGTGATAATGCATTATTATATCAAAATGTCAAAACTTTTAAAAGAAAAAATAAAATGGAAGTGACAGGTCCTATATATATTGCACATAAATGTAAATTTTGAAGTGTAGTAGTTTTAGATGGCATGGATTAAAGCATATTTATTGCTTACTGCATTGAGATGAAGCATCCTGACTGTCCTTGAGCTATCCTTGATTGAAGGAAAGCATCCCATCTAGTTGTTAGAGGGATGCATAGCAATGGAAACATGAGGAAGACTGATTTTAAGCCTGGAGAAAGTATCATGTGAAAAGTAGAAGAGGGAAACCTGTGCACAGATAACTCACTAGGCTGCCTGACATTTAAGAACTTTGTGACTTGTTAAAAAGAAATGATTTTAGATATAGATTACATTCTTGAAATCCTGCCCCAGTGGTGATACCTAATCTCTACATCTCTGGGGAGGCGTGTGAATGGGCAGAGATCAAAGGTAGTGATGATGGATATTGTCCGCTAAGATATGGTGGATCTTAATCCTTCACAGTAAAGATGATGGCAGTGATGAACAACTTCTGGTTCAGGTTTAAGTGCCTAGGTGAGGAATGAGAGAGAGAGAAACAGAGACGCACAGAGAGAGTAAATTGTAGACTTTGCTACTTTTACTTGGAGTTTGCTAAGAATGACTGACATAAATACATTGCTGACAATGAAGGAAGCCAGACCCAACTAAGCAGGAGTCAGGAACTGAGATCAGAAAGCATTTTGAGAAACAGGAGATGGTTGAATGTGACAAATGCTGTGAAGAGGTTGAGGAAAGATGAGGTTTGAAAATTGGACTGGCCCTTGGGCTTAGTTGTAATGAGGTCGTCAGAGACCTCAGTGAAGGTCAGTTTCCCCCCCAGTGACAAAGGCACAAGCTGGACTAGATGAAGTTGAAAAAGCAGCCTTATGAGAAGAATTGGGGGCAGGACAAGAAAACATAGTCTAAGAAGCAATATGTGATGAGGAATTAAGATCAAGTTTCTACCGTTCAGACAATTTTATGGTGCTCATGAAAATTTAACAAGTCATTTAGGTTATGCTAAAAAAATTTAGAAAGCACCAGGTTTGGAATAACTTCATTAGTGCTAGAGATTTTTTATTGCTCTTCAGATATACAATTTCCACTGTATTTCTTTTAATTTTTTACTTGGTTACTTATCATTAGGCTAAGAGCACATAAACTACCTCAAGAAGTCTCAAAGTGGCTCACATACACAGAGAGAAATTAAAGAGACAGCAAGAAAGAGAATGAGAAAAAGAGGGAGACTGATGTGCACACACAGAAATGCAAATGACCACACACACACATGTACACACACACAGACTCACCAGCAGGAAAAAGGCAGAGAGTACCAAGACCAATGAATTTGCTTTTCTGTAACCTATGTTGATATTCATGACTAGTTTCTAATTAAAAATCCTAAGTTTCAGACATAGGAATTTGCCTAGTTATTCAGCAGAAACGTGTTCAATATTGCTCACTTTATTAAGTATACTGTACAATATCATATTTGATAAAAGAAGCCTTTATAGTTATATTAAAAACTAATGATGAATTGGAAAAAATAATTCTGCCTTGAGGGGGTTAATGATTTTAAAAAGACAATATTCTTTCCAAAGTTGTCAGCAAGCATTAGTTCTAAAATCCAACAACTTTTAAATCATTCTTCTTCATAGACACTATTACAGGTAAACTTGTTTTCCGACCGGGGTAAGAGACCATTGTGGAACATTCCATGCTATGTTAGGGCAGAGTTACATCAGGAGGCTATTATGGTCATGCTGGTACCAGGTTGATAAGTGTGAAATTATCAGCAACTGAACATTGGGGGAATACATTTTTGCATCAAAGGTGCCCTTTACTCCTCAATCAGAAAACCAAACTGCTGATTCAAATGAGCAGACCGCTTAAAATTAAGCGATTCTTCATCTGAAAATTCCATATGCTGTATTTAACTACCTATTTCTAGGGATTTGCCCTTTTTTTAGTAGAAAATAGCTTTTAATATCCTAGGGAAAATTTACTGTTAAAGGTTTACATTAAACAAAAAGCAACTCTTGGTTGTCTACGTTATTTGGAAAGTATGTTCGATGCAAATTTACAAAAAGGATACATGTCACTGTGGGTCACTACTGAATATTCTTTTTGGGCTTTCTCTGTTGGATATACAATCTCAGCTAAATGTTTTGAAGAGGAGGAATCAAATAAATTGCCCTATTTTGGGTCTTTCTCATCTGTATACAGATGTGCAGCTCTAGTAGACCTGAAAATTGCCCAGGGACAAACTTTAAAAAAAATAGAGTGCTTTTGAGGCAGAAAATTGCTTTTCTGTGGTCTGGTCTAAAGGACAGGCAGTGACAGGAGGACAAGAAGTTGTCACCATGCAGTGATATTGTAAAGCATATCCTCCATAACAAAGAGGATAATTTGTTTTTATTTTCTTCCTTGTTAACCACAAAAGCATCCAGTGCAATAACACTATGGCTTTGACTTAAACCCTTGCAAGCAGATGCGCAATTAGATTTTTGAAAGTCCATCTTTAACCCACACATGGTACTTAGTTTCTAGAGAAAACAAACAGCTTAACATACTAGATCATTCAGTATTTCTCAATTTTGCCAAGAACCCTAAATGTCTGGGCTTTGGGATAAAATATAAATGCATTGTAGATTGGTCTTGGTTTCTGTGTATACAAGTCAGTTCCTCAGTATCATTTCAACAAGCCTTGTGTAGTTTAATATATATAAAAAAAGATTTTATGTATTTGGACTGGACCCTTGATATTTTTGGAAGATTATTTTATGTGGTTTAATTTCCATTTTTATGATGGTATGAACGAAAAATGGTAGAAAATATGTCTTTTGTGTGTTAAGGGATTTGAAACTCCTCTGGGCCTGTTATCATGCTAATGAGACAGCTGAGAGATAGCAGGATTTTGTGTATTAATCTTACTAGGCATTTGCACACCAGAACTGCTCATTTAGAGTTTTAATGGCATTAACTGTGAATTTGCACAAAATTAACAAAAAAAATGCTTCCACATTATGGATCCATAATACCAAATGTTTATTAAAACCTATTTAAATTATAATACATACACAGTGGACCTTATCTAATGTACAATATCTCAGTTAAAATATTTTCTTACACTTTTGAAATAACTTGTTTTAATTGTTCACACAAAGATTCTCTAGGTAGTTTGATACCTGATCAAGAGCTTCATCCCAGTGTTAATACTCTTTGATCTCAATCAGTGTTTGTGTCATGTTTAACAGAAAGCTTTTGTTCCTCTTAAGTCCTGTTTCTCCTGCACGACACTGACCCACAGATGTGCATAGCGTAATTGCACCAGTGAAGTTGACGATGGGAATGAGCACCGACTGGACATTCCTCACTTTTCAACTTTTACTGAATTATTGAGCTATAAATTCATACAGAGGAAGGAATCTAAGAAATTATCCAAGCCTGCCTTCACATTTCCTGTGATGAATCATTCTTATATAAGTAGAGACTCATCCAGTTTACTTTCTTTTTCTCATGCTAAATTATACTAGATGTGCTAAGTGATCCCAATTTTTTGGGATCCCTAACCAGTGATCCCAATTTTTTAATTTTTCTTTCTTCTAAAATATCTATCGTTTTGCACTACATATTTTTTCTCTATATCAGTCATTCTTTCTTTCATTCAACAAATATTTCTTGAATAGCTACAAGGAATAGTAATAGCTGGCCACTACAGATACTCTGTAGACCCAACCCATGTTCTACAGGGTTTGCCATTCTGGGGCGCATGAAGTCAGAGCGCCAAATGGACAGTGTGGTGCACCGTATTTCTCACTGTAGGGAGACTACACACAAGATGATCCATAGAATTTGGATTGGCCAGTTGCTCTCCTTTGGGGACAGTAGATCCATAATTGCTGACTCTTCCTTCTCCAGATTTCATTCCTACCCACCGCCATTTTTCTGTCATAATGAAACAATCACCTGAGACATATTGCCCTCAAATGTGTATAGCTTTCTTTATATCACTTTTTCAATTCAGCTTTCCTTGGTTTATACCCTAGCCATGTTGTTGGAAATCTAGAGGTGTCTGAGTCTCATCAGTGCCTTCTCCACAGCCCATATCAGCAGGTGTTGGATGCCATTTGGTGTATGACTGGCAGTCAGATGTTTCCATTCTCCCTTCTAAATGAGGGCGCCTAAGAGAGAACTACTTAGTCTGTGGGATGTATACGGTAATCTGAAATGATTTATCTGTTCTTTACAATGAGCCCACATTCTGGATGATAATTGCAGGTCTTCCTGTACAATGGAATATTTACATCATTTTCCCTGCAATGTTAACATGTCATGTTAATCGATTTGCCTGTGAGTTTCGCATGGAATCCGAAATTAGACTATCATGTAAAAGCCACTCAAATAACAATAAAACGACATACAGCAGGTGGGCCCGGCCTTCGTTAGATGGGGATGTGATGAGCCGGAACTGTCCGGAAGCTGCCGCAGTCTCTCGCTGACGCGGCGCACCGCCTCCAGCCCGCTCACCGTCTCCTTGCCTGCCCATTGTAGTTCTTATCCTCTGACTCCTTTGGTGCAAAATGCTCCACTATTTTCAATTTGTGCTGTGCCCATCTCCTGCCTCGGCCTATTAATCCATGCCAACCACAGGGACAAATGGAAGCAGATGATTGCACACTCAGCATCAACATCGCTGAATTTCTATCGCGCGTTCGCAGGCCTTGCCAGAAGTGTACTCAGAAGACTAAATGGTAGAAGAGTCTCTCGGCTCACAGATGGGCCTTCCCGTGTCCGTCTTCCTGACAGACATTCATGGCATAATAACAGGAAAACATCACACACTGGCTCTCAGCGATAAATTACAACAGTAACTTTTATAGAATATTTGTAAACATTAGTGCCAGAGTAAGCTATCTTTTGTAAAGGCCTTTACTATCCAGAGTGAACTACTAGAAATTTTCACTTCTTTTGAATCTACATGTAATCATAATTATAAATCTACCAATGGAAAATATACGGTCAAATTGACTTAACAGATTTATTCTTAGGTTTTAATCACAAGGAAAAGAACAGACATGGGTATTTAAAATTCCACGATGTTGTCCTCTCAGTATTCTAGATTGTGATTTTACATGAAGGATAACAATAGTCACTAAGAAAATGGAGTTAATTTGATGAAAACCAACCAGAGAACAATTTGTGCCCTCATCTATTGAGACGGTGCTTTTCAAGTTGTTCTCAGAAAATTCCTAGGGACACCCCAAAATACCCTCGGGAACCACCAGAAAGGGGCGTCACAGGAACTGAGAGCCAGAGCCCCATGTGCCTGGGTTCCTAATCCCTTCCTCACTCTGTTTTTTATCTGTTTTGAGTGATTGGTTTCTTCATAACATTGTGTTAAGAACAGCATTCTGCTGTTAAAATAAAAGTTTGAAATTCAAGGTAGAATTACAATAGAGAAGGTGACTTTACAGAGTACCTTGAAAATCATCAAAGAAGTTAAGCTAAGCATATATCAACAGGGAAAAAAACGCGAAGCATCTCTGCTGGTACAAATATAATACTGCAATGTAAGTACTAAGCATTTCAAAGTTCATTTTTTATGTATATAGTAATTTATGCAATATATAGTAATTCTCTTTAAGCAGACTCTTCAACAGATTGATTATCTAATAATTCTGAATAAATGAATTTAATCAGTTGCACATTGAAAAGCCCATGTAATTTAATTTGAAATACATCAAAAGCAATAAAATATGAATAACATTGTCTCTTTTATTAAGGTGCTTTATACTTAATATAGATACATCTTTAAAATTGTGCCCTAAACTACATTTTTAATCAATTTTTTTAGGAAATTTCTCTTTAGGTATCTTAGTTTTAATATCATTTTGGCAATTTTCTATTTAAAGCCCAGTTCTTCATATTCCAAAGTAATTCAAGAGTTGTCTCCACATCTGTTTCTTTATCAGATTATATATACAGTCCTATCTTATAGATTGATTTAATGTATATTAATTTATATTAAATTTTTCTAGTATTTAAAAATTCTGAGTAATTTCGCATTACACTTGACACCTTGACAGCATATGACGTTGTCAGGAGGATGAACTAGGTTACCCTGTAGTTCATTTCCACAGCTCTCTGAGTTAAGCTCTCAGGGTCAAGTACTCCCAGCGAGAGCCAGGGAATCCATACAGCCCTTGCCATCAAGGAGCCCAGGAACCCTAAGAGTCGAATATGGCCTAAAATTAGCCTTACGGGTGCTACATATCCTACCTTGGGTAGCCACTTCTGCAAGTAGAAAACAAACATTGATTAAAGAACCTAACAGAATGTTTTGCCTTGATAATTGCAGAAGCTGTGAGAAAGAATACACGTTTTCCAAATTGAACTTTGCTAAATGAGGGTCAGTAGCTTTAAGCTTTTTATAGTACAAGCTCAACCCTACAGTAAGTGAATATCTTAACCACAGGAACACTGAAAATTCAATGATATTTTCATAATTGCAATCCGGATAGTCAATAAACACTGCAACCTGAAGTAGCTCACTTTGAAGAAAACTTGACTGCCTAGCTAAGAACACTGTACCACATAATATTAATAAGCCAAACTACTGAACTCTGAATATAATAGGACAATTACCTCCAGGAAGCATTAGTATTCATTATACCCCAAACATTTGTTTGTACAGACAGCTGCAGTCACCATGCACCTAGTACAATTACAGTGCATCAGAGACATTCCGTATAATGTTATTTGAAATTTTCTGCATATCTTGTCATCTGAATGTGATAGAATGTGTTTCTATCAGCGACTTTAATTATGCTTCATTCAAATCAATTCTACAGTTATTTCTCTTGACTTAGTTTTTGTTCCTCCTTGTCCCTTCAACTATTTCCTGTGTTTGGAAAGGAAAGCCACAAAGAGCACATAATTTGGGTTTAAAAATAAAAGTCAAATTATATATTATCCATCATCTCCATTTCTAGACCCAGGAAAAATTTTGATTGGCATTTGTTTTTATTCTGATTATAAAAGATATTAATGATATTAATTATAATGATTGGAAAATACCAGAAAAAGTGAAATTAAACATTTTAAGTAACCCCAGTTCTGCCACCAGAGACAATAATTGTGAACACTTTGATGCGTTTTTAAGAATGTTTCTTTATGCATATGTGGATAGTATATTTTTATTTAATTTATTTACTTGATATTATATATGGAGCATTTTTCAATGATACCAAGCATTTTAGAAAAATATAATTTGATTGATTAGCCAATGGACAATTAAATTATTTCTCATCTTTCACATATAAAGATTTCTGCTAATTTTACATTCCATTTGAATAAAATACAACCATATTACTTAAAAATGTAATACAAAATAAGTAAATATATTCTACAGGGTTTTATACAAGTAATTAGAAGAGAAAAAAATTCATCATATTTTAATTGAACTTTTTAATCATCTTTAATTTAAAGGATGAAAGTATTAACTTATTGAATCCCATCCTTTCACCATGTCATTGCATGTAGTTCATTTGTTGTCATTGTTGAGTACTCTTCCATTATATAGTTCAACTTGTTTATTCATGTATCTGTTATTGGACATTTGAGATGTTTCCAGTTTTTGGCTATTATGAATAAAGCTGTCATGAACATTCTATAACAAGCATTTCTTCACACCTGTAATCCTAGCACTTTGGGAGGCCGAGGCGAGCGGATCATGAGGTCAGGAGATGGAGACTGTCATGGCTAACATAGTGAAACCCTGTCTCTACTAAAATACAAAAAAAAATTAGCCGGGCGTGGTGGTGGGCACCTGTAGTCCCAGATACTTGGGAGGCTGAGGCAGGAGAATGGCGTGAACCCAGGAGGTGGAGCTTGCAGTGAGCTGAGATTGCGCTCCAGCTTGGGTGACAGAGCAAGACTCAATCTCAAAAAAAAAAAAAAAAGCATTTCTGTGGATATAGGTGAATTCACTCTAGGGTGAATACGATGAGAGGAATTGCTTGGTCATGTGATAAATGTACATTTAACTTTGTAAGACCTGGCAGTTTTCCAGTGTGGTTGTTGCATTTTACTTCTGCACTGCAGCTATGGTATATATTGACCAAGGTGTGTATAGGTGTGTGTGTACATGTATACACAAATATTTATATTTATATAATATAATTGGATATATATTATATAGATTCGCCAAAGGTACTGAATAAAAAGTCATCACTGTCAACATTTTCAGACAGTTATTTCTCAACTATCATTATCTTTTACTCTTAGAAACCTAGTCCAAACATGTTTGAAACCTGTAACCATCACTTAAAATTAAAAAGAGAGAGAAATTTATATAATTCCAAACTTCATATTGGTTTGGCTAAAATGGAAGCATCTTCAAAATGATTTTTCCAGTGGAGGATGAAGTTAGCTTAGACACAGTATTTTTTTACCCAATAAGAATTTCATGTCTTTCTCTGTTGTAGGGAGAAGACTGGAAGGAAATAGAGCCTGACTCTAATTATATTTTTCTCTTGTCTATATGGCTGTTGATTAAATGACATAACTTATCAGGCATTTGTTTCTTTATTGTTAAACAAAGACAACGTCCAATCATTTAGCCTCTCTGGCCTTCAGTACCAAAGCGCAGGATAAGAGTATCTCTTTAACTGTAAGACACAAGGTTCTACTTAAATACATTTGTTTTAATTTTTATAGATTCCAAGTTTCTTTCTTCTCTAATTCAGATTAGTTATTTTTAATTGACTCTTATTTTTATTGCTTTAGAAGAAAAATCAAATGGAGTTTTAAGCAAATATATCCTTTCAGTAATCTCACGCCCAAGTAGAAGACTGTACAAACAAATAACTGAGTGAGATCATGCATATTTTTAAATTTCAGTTTCCAAGTTGTAAAAATAAAGCAGAAATCACGGCATAAACTTCTGAACAGTACTTTTCTTAGGCTTTCTATCTTTTTCTAACAAACTTTGAGATTTTTTTTCTCCTTTCAGTTATTTGAAACTAGCAAGTAGAACAGTGTAAGTTGCAATATGCTCATAAAAACATACAGAAAAATTAGCCTTTTCTGATTTGATTTCTGCTATTGTGTAGTTCTTCTGGGTCTAAGAATGGTGCTGTAAATAATCTGTATAAATTTGTTGATGGATTTTCCATTAGCTCCTATGTCTTTCTTTATATTTCTTGGAAATGTCTGTCTTTCACTTCAGAGACTAAGGACACTATAATCATAGTTAACATGCAGATACAAAGATGCATCCAAGATAACAGTCCCATTTACCACTATTAAGTTAGTAAGTGGATTGTGAATAAAGAATCAAAAAAGTAAACTAATGAAAAATTTGCTTAGATGGAAGGAAAGAATAGTGGAAGAAAAAAATAGATTTCCTATAAATGATATAAACCAAGAGAGAAACATTGTTTTATGCATTTTTGTATTTTCTATATGAATTCAGACAATTATCTGTTCTGCATTTCTCGTGTTGTGCTTATAAATAGGTTTATTATACTTAGTACATAAAGATGCTCTAATGATTAACATGAGATCATATAATTATAGTAGCTAATAAAGTACCTAGAGTAATTATAGGAACTGTATGAAATTTAGGTCCCATGTATTGTAGTCCAACTGTGTATCTGTTGCTGGTGTCCCCTCTCAAATGTCACACTGATGTGATTGTATTATCTAAGGCTAACATACTTCTCAAGAGAACACTCACACCCTGCAGAGGTCTACCTGTTTAATTTTAAGATCGGATTTGCTTTGTGTTTAATAGCAAAGGGATACAAAAGAATTGTTAAAGTCTGATGTACTTTCAATTTCCTACCATCTGCTTGAGGATACAAGAGTATAACATGGAGGAAGTAGAAAATATCAGATTATAGAGGTAAACAGATGCTACGTCTTCTGGCAAAACACTGGAAATAGTAAGAATTTAAGAGGGGATACTATGAGGGTCAAATCAGGAAGCTTTGCAAGGGAGGTAGTCAGGAGGCATGCAATAAAGGAAGCTGAAAGAAAAGTTAGGCAGAAATTAGCAGGGTAAATACAGTAAGAAATATCAAGAATATTGACTGGAATATTCTTGGTATTTTTATGTTGGCAAAAAGATGAAAATCAAGTTGCATGGTTAGAGCGAGACTAAACTGGAACTCTGGAAAATATATTGACAGGTGCTTTCAGCCCTTAAGAATTCTTAAACCAATGGGCGTTTCCCAGCCAGAGGGAATTTCTTTGGGCTTAGCAACTCTAAGACTTGTTTAAATGGCCTATCACAAGGTATAGCGTCTATTTTCCAAGGGTAACTTTGTTCAAAATATTCTTAAGAGTGAACACTGCCTGTTTCTCATAGTGCATATGAATCTTCGTCTTTTTAATAAAGCCTCCCCAAAAGATAGCAATATTAATGCCATGCTATAATTTATTTCTATACACACAAAGTGAATATTTTTATAAAATAAAAGGCTGCAGAATAAGCCATTCAAGAAGATTACATTCAAACTGATATATATAGGTAAAGTAGTGATAAATCACACTCAACAAGAACTTCTGTATAGTGATAAAGCTCCGAAGCTTCAGAGTGGTCAGTGTATTAAACATTCAAGAAGAACATAAGGTGGATAGACATGTGTTATAAGAGAACAAGAATATCAAGGTGAGTTTTTCCCTTGTTTTTCTTTGTTTTCATGGATATATGTTGGTAACTAACTGGAGACAGAGCCAAGCAACCCCAATTAATTCAGCACAGTTTGGCACAATTGGCACCTCCTGCTGAGAAGAGACAATATCTGAGCTAAGCAAAAGGTGTGAATTGGCTCTTCCTACTTAAAAAGCTGCCCCCAGGTGAGTATTACCAATGTTACCTGCAGTGCTTTCTCGGGGCAGCTAACACTGCAGGTTGCTGGTATCATACTCAGCTAGCCAGTAAAAAAAGACCAATGTGCACCCTTGTCCCTAAATTTGAAAAAAATCTGGCCATCCTGGAGTTGAGATTGGTGAGAGTGTTCGTGTGGGTAATCGTGTGTACATGTGTGTTTATATATGAGGTTGATTTGCTAAAGTTGCTGAATCTGGTAAAAAAAAAAAATCCATGAATCTTCAGTTTTGCTTTTGAGAGGGAATGTGCACACTCTTAAATGTCTGCTGCCAAGGGTACAGTTTTTACTATCCATTTGTATTAAAATCTCTTCAGCTTGCCATCACATCTCTTAGAGCCTTTTTCCCTATCTTTTGGCAATACAGTGTCAATTATTTTGGAACCAAATCTATAAGGAATTTTTGAAAAAAAAATCCTGCATTTTATTCAAAGAAAAGCAAATTTATTAATGCAAATCTGAGAAGTCAGTGGGTCTGGATCCTATTTGAAGATGAGGTTAACAGCTCATTTTATTTTTACTATCATAGGGAAATAATGGTATGATGGAATAGATAATAAAAACTGGATTTTCATTAGTAATTAGGAGTCCTAATAGATTGTTCTTCTTGGTGGGACATTCAACAAGCTTTGCAAGCTCTTCATCTTTTTGTCAATAGAGGTAACTGTTTCATTAGCATGGATATTTATAAGTTGTTTAAGAAGTTTTTGAGGTAAAGAAGTTTTAGAGTAAATGAGGTTTTTGTAGAAAATGAGGGAAAATTGTCTTCAACTAAATTCTGGCACTACATGCTTTAGTAATCTTAAGAATTATTGTATACCTGGGAAGTGTTAGAACTTTACCTGAACTATTTTCAGTGCTATAAAATGGAGTGTTCCATTTTCCAATTCCTACAATTGAATGTCGGATTGGATGATGCTTCCTCAGCTCTTCCATCGCCCTCCAGGCAACATATGTTATTAAACCACAGACAGTCACCAGGGAGAGCTGTGAGCATGTGGGAAATTAGGGTTCCTAAGTAGAGAGAAGTTGGTAAATCTATAAAATTGTGGATAATCTCTCTCTTGGGCCATCTCTCTACTTTAAATTATCCCTGTTAACCAAAATAAACTCAAGGAATCATTCCATGGTTAATGTGCTTTGATATATTTTGCTCAGTTGTGGACAGGAGGTCTGTCTTAGGTTTCTAGAACAAATGTTTTCTCTAGGTACTCAATGCTATTGATTTTGTGGCCAAAGGCACGTGATCAATGATGTGACAGTTGCAGTCTGAAAGTGATTGGGGCAGGAAACTTAGTAATGATGAGCTAACCTCAAAAGGCTTCACGTCGAGATGTTTATCTGGACCTCTTGCCTTCTCAAAATTGGGAAGAAATCCTGAGAGAGCTACTTTTTGCAAGGGTTCTGTTGACACATACTTCATGTCAGGTCAAAAATGCCATAAGAGCATCTTCCCCACTGTATTTTAGCTGAAGGGCAATAAACTCTTAGAGGGCACCATTAAAAAAATAAAATTGTGTTTGTTATATAATAGAGAGAGGTGACAGGGAGAGTTTATGACTTCAAGTTCTGTAAAAAGGATCAAGTTACATTCCGTATTCATTTTCAAGCATAAATGAGGTCATCCAAAAATTAAATTTTCTCTACTTGCAGAAACATCAGTTGATAAATATACTTCTTCTGTAGCTGTATTTATAAAATGGTTTTACAGTATCATCTTATGCTCATCGAATTCTTTACTATGTCTGTTTTATGTTCATAGAATTCTTAAAACTATGATATTATTCATCTAGCAGGTACTGACATATTACTATGCAGTAGGTACCATGCTAGAGGCTGAGGATTAAAAGATAATGCTTTATGTGTAATCCTTTCCTTTAAGATATCCTACAGTCTATTTATTCATACATGTTACATTGCAATGTGTTAATCACAACAAGTGTAATCCATGCAAGAAGAGGGAGAACAAATTTATATACACGAAGAAGGCCATTAGGAAAGCCTCCTGGAAGAAGCATTGAGATTAGCAGAAAATTTGCATAGAAACTTGTTAGAGAGATAAAATACAAAGGCAGTACCTTTTGCAAAGGCCTAAGGAAGAGAAACCTCATGGCCATTTTACCATATGGAGTTTAATAATCCTAGATCACGGAGGGTGGCTTGAGAAAGAAAAAGTAGAGAGAAATTAGGCTGAAACTGGGCCCAAGTAAACTCATGAATGGCATTAAATAACCTGCTAGGGAACTTGACTTTACCGGTAGGCAATGAACCATCACTTAAAGGTTGTAAGCAGAGAAGAAAGACACATCTAGACTTGTAACGGTAGATGAGCTGACCAAGTATAAAGCACTTGTCAGCCAAAGAGGCAAGGATGGTCCTGACTGTGTATCTCTCTCTGTACCAGTTTGCCCAAAAGTATGACTGCAATAGTTCCAAGAGGTGATATACTTCCAAGGGAACTGAAATAGTAATAATAATCTTCCTTCTAGTGATATTTTTGCATATTTTGTGAAAAATGTGAGCAATTTGGCAAATTATACATATGCCCCCTAAGCATGCCCACTGAATGAAAAATGATATCATGAAAGAGTTTACATATTTTTCACACTAGCCTTGTTTACTTGTTTTAAAAATAGTGGCTGTTTGCATTTTTAAGATGATACCATTATGCCATGAAAAGATACTGCATAGCGTATTACCAGGGTACATTGAACACGCTGGAAAGTTAGGCTTGTTATAGACAAAGGGATATGTACATGGTCCCTATTTTACAGCATTAAAAGATACAGTAGAAAAGAAGGAATTTTTGAGTCTAATATCTGTAGCTAATACTATGAAACATGTGCCTCTGGATAGATGTCTTACCCACTGGCTTTTCTCGTAAATAAAATATAGTAGTACTTTTTAAAAACTGCCTATTGATTAATTTGAAAGAAAAATCCACTCATAAGCTGAGTGTCTGATATCTTGTTTCAAAACTGAGGATTTTTTGAGTATTATTTAGATATTTCATTGATATGAAAACGGAACACTTGAGACTACAGACAGCAGAATGCCCGAGGCAACCAAGCATACCAAAATATACTGCACAGAGAGACTTTTACTACTCCTGCTATTTAAAGACCTATTTTCATGAGCTTATTAGCTACTAGTGATCCCGAAGGAGAAATACAATTAAAACTTAATCATACCAAAAGCTGGGATTCTTCTGATTCAGCGAACTTGTAATCTATTATATTTAGTAGTTTACTTGTAAATGTCTGAAGGCTGAGAATGAGAATCATATAAATGGACTTCATTCCGTAGTGATACAACTGCTTTGAACTCACACCACAGGACTTGCCTTTTCTGCATGTACTTCACTCTGTCGGACCCTCCCTTTTTCTTTACACTTTTCAGGGTTTCTAAAGTGTGGCATCTCTCTTCTCTTTTGTGAAAGCACAATAGCTTCCGTTCCCTTTAACTGTCATATTACACCATTCCCCAGATTTCACATATGAAATTAAATCCTTACAAAATAGATGATGCTGAAGAATTTGATCCCACATTAGCAAGTCAAGTCAAGAGTTGAGAGATACAGAGAAACCACGCTCAGATGATCCTATATTTGCGTAGGAGCTCGGGTGAACAGGCGGATTCTATTACTGAGAATACTAAGAGGACAACGCTGTTTCATTTACAAATATTGATTCTCATGCGTATCCCTACCCTCACCCCTACCATCACCACTGCCTTCTGTTATGGGATAACGTGAGCTTCCTTAAGGCCACGTCAAATAGAAAGAAGCAATGAGAGAAGAAGGGAGGGTGGACGTTGCTTTCCATGAAGTTTTCACTCCAGGTGTCATTCAGGGGCCACTCCACGTGGTTGTTGCGGAAGGCAGCCTGCTTAGAGTAAAACACGCATGGCAGGAGACACTGGGCAACCAGGGATTCTGCTGGTCTTGCAGCCACTTGCCAAGTCGTTTCCTCTGTGCAGCTTCTGTGGGGACATCGACAAGCAGCTTTGCCGGCAGCTGGTGCCACAGAGGTGATCTTCTTATCCAGCAGAGAATCAAAGCCTTTCAGAAGGGAAAGGAAGAATTGAAATGGTTTGTGTGTCGCTTGGGAGCAGAACTTGATACTCTAATGGGTACTTTCATTCCATATTTCTTTAGAGTCTACTAGTTTTAGGAACTGAATTTATTTCAAAATGAGGCTATGCAAGTATTTTGACTCAAATTGTAATTATTTCTGTATTCTCTCCTATCTTTCTATAGGGAAAAAGCACAAAGAACACTGTACTTGGGGTTCTCACTACCAAATTAAGGTTCACTTATAATTTTGACTAAATTAAATGAAAGAACAAAGATAGCAGCCCCAAAAGAAGAATTATAGGTAAGACTATAGGCCGGGAGTGGTGACTCATGCCTGTAATCCTAGCACTTTGGGAAGCCGAGGTGGACAGATCACCTGAGGTCAGGAGTTCAAAACCACCGTGGCCAACATGGCGAAACCCAGATTCTACTAAAAATGCAGAAGAATTAGCAGGCATGGTGGCGGGCACCTGTAATTCCAGCTACGCTGGAGGCTGAGGCAGGAGAATCGCTTGAACCTGGGAGGTGGAGGTTGCAGTGAGCCGAGATTGAGCCACTGCACTCCAGCCTGGGCGACAGAGTGAGAGTCCATCTTAAAAATAAATGAATAAATAAATAGACTATATAGGCCACATTATTAATGGCCTAAAGGATCTCATTAGTACTTAGGTTTTGGGTAGGGTCTACCAATAGCTCTCCTGATAAGGGGATTTTCTTAGGGAGAATCCAGTACCAATATCTTTACTAGGATTCTCTTGCTTTAGTCTTGCTCCTAATTTCTACTTCTTTCCTTTGACTTTTTTATTCTTCTTCTTCTTCTTTTTTTTTTTTTTTTTGAGACAGAGTCTTACTCTGTCACCCAGGCTGGAGTGCAGTGGCACTGTATCGGCTCACTGCAACCTGTTTCCTGGGCTCAAGCAATTCTCCTGCCTCAGCCTCCTGAGTAGCCCACCGCCACGCCTGGCTAATTTTTTTATATTTTTAGTAGAGACAGGGTTTCACCATGTTGGCCAGGCTGGTCTCGAACTTCTGACCTCAGGTGATCTGCCTGCCTCAGCCTCCCAAAGTGCTGGGATTACAGGCATGAGCCACTGCACCCGGCCCTTCTTTTTTATTCTTGTCATCACACTCTGCCTGTTCTTATGATTTAATGTTTGGAAAGTTTTGCCATTTAGTGTTAGATTTTTTTTTTTTTTAGTCTATCTTGAAATAATTGGGACAAATTGTCACTTATAAATACACCATTTTTGAAAAGAATGAGTGGCAACAAAACTATCCAGTAGTACTGACGAGCTCCATTCTCTCCTTTCTGTACAAAAAGAGAGCTAGACTTTTCCTGCTGGGGCAGAGATCATTTGTCTTCTTACACAGCCCTAGAATTCATCACCATCAACTTTAGGAAAATTGTTCTAAAAGTGACACAACTGTGCATTGATTTACACAAAGTGTTTACAGATCAAACTTGTACAAGAGGATAAAAATATTTCCATTTATTCCTTTTCCATTAATAAATTACCATTTAAGTTTTAATTCATGAATTATCATATTAATAAATTACCTACTGTATGCCAGACACACTTCTTGGAACTTGGGAGATTCCTGTGAACAAAATAAACAGTGAATGATCCTTGGCTTTATAGGGCTTACATTTCTGGCAATAGATATAAAATAGATAATAAGACATATATAAAATAAGCTTTTATACATATATATGTATATAAAATAGGCTCCAAATTTGAACAACATGTCTTCTTGTTATTTACCCATAAATAGCACCTAAATTAAAAATGGCTTATGTAGAAAGCTTTAACTGTTATTCTAAACAAAAACAAGAAAGACCATGTCTAGACAAACAGCTAAAGTTGTGTGTGTCCATTCAATAACACTTACGGAGTGCTTATTATTGACCAGGCAATATTCTGAGCATTATTTTCTCCACAAGCTTATTTTACACTTCAAATATCTTTTAAGATAGTCATTACTATTATCTGCATTTTACAGGTGGAAGTACTTATAGGTGAAGCATTGAAGTTAAACTACATGTCCTAGATAATAGAGATTACTATTTTCTCTTTCTCATATTTAAAACGATACTAATACTGTTTTCCTCCTTAAGAGGACCATGTGAAATTCCTTATTCACATGAACTGATGTTGTCTGAACCATGATTGAGGTCCTCCAAAAGTTATTCCCTTTATCCCTTTCTGCAATATTCAGGTTACATGATAGAATTCGACTTCTTTTCCTTCTGTACTTATTTATACCAAATTCCAGTTTATCTTGCATGTAATTTTATTCCAACTTCCCTTAATTAACGATCTGCAAAACAATACTCCAGTTTATGTAATATAAAAATAATAGCAAACATTCACAAAGCATTTCCTATATTCTAAGTTCTATTTAAAAATCTTTACCTATATTAATTCATCTTAATATTTTTGATAGGTAATATTATTATCATCCCCATTAGGCAGACAAGGAAACTGAGGCACAGAAGAATCAGATACTTTGACTGGGATCCACATGTGATGAATGTGGAGCCCAGATTCAAATGGAGACATCTGGGTCTGAGGGCTTCTGCTCCGAAGTCCTGCATGGACATGCTTGTATATATTTATACCATTAAAGGAGTCAGTTTCAAAAATTGAGTCTCATTATGGGGAAAATTTGAAGATCCATTCCATAGCTTTGGATATTTGGGCTTTTTATACATTCAAACAACGCTGAGGTCAGGAATCAGTGTCAAGCACTCAAAGATAAATATCTCTTTATGGGCTAACACTTCCTTCCAACCCAAAATGCTGACCACTGGGTGCCTTTCTGTCTGGTGCCACATTTTCACCAGCCACATGTGAAGAATTGCCTTATAATCTCGCAAGTTTGCAGGGTCACAGTCCTGCAAACATGCTAATTAGCAACATTTCAGATCCAAAGCCTGCGAAGCTAAGCACAAATTATAAACCTATTTGTGTGTGTGTGTGTGTGTGTGTGTGTGTGTTATAAACCTAACCCAACTGGCTAAATCATATTAACTTTTGTGAAAAATTTGATCCTGGGTTATGATTTGTGACATACTATGAATTTGAAAATCATACCAAACTGCGTCTGGAAAGAAGAAATATAATTAATAGGTTTGGAAACCCTTTTAACTTTTAGTAACTGTAATCAGTGATACATTTCTAGCAGCACATTTTTTTTTTTTCCTACAAGCTGTTTACAAAGGAATTGTACTGCGACACACTTCATTCTGATTTGTTTTTCTCTTTTAATGCTGTTGAAACAGAATTTGTTCTCAGCCAGTGAAGGATAATCTAACATAAGGCTTTTACAGATATAAAAGATTGGCTATTATCTCTTTTTGCCTTCAGACACTTAAAAAATACATAAATATTGAAAATGTTCAAGTACCCATTTATACATTATTACTGAAAACTAAGTATTGGCAGGTATTTCATTCACTGTATCTTGCATTTCACAAAATTCTGAAATTTCAAATTTGCAGGTAATCTTGGAAGATGGAGGAGAGGTTGTTATTTTTCTCAGCTTGCCTCATTTTATCTGAGAAGCATAAGGGGAAATGATACACCCAGGAGCTTTATTAACCACCATAAATATAGAACCTAGAGCTTATTTCTAAGATTTATCTATTCTGAAAGTATCAATACTACCTAAAAGCAAATTATTATGAAAAATGGTTGCTATTTTAGCTATCTGCTCATCATTTCTCTTGGAATCTTTGTTCGGAGCCATGGATATAACATTCCAGAAAATAACAGCAGAGATTTCTTGTCAATCTTTCATAGACCTTGGTTATCCTCCACCGTCATCAGGGTTTTTCATCGACCTTGACATCAGATCTACCTACGGACATTGTTGTTCGAAGCAATGATCATAAAGCTTTTTATTGAGTGCTTAATATGTCCTGGGCATTTTGGTAAGCACTATACAAACGTTATCTCAATTAATCCTGTCAACAAACATACAAAAGAAATACTATTCATATCCTCATCTTAAAAGTGTGGAAACTGCCAGGTGTGGTGGCTCATGCCTGTAATCCCAGCACTTTGGGAGGCCGAGGCAGTGGATCACGTGAGGTCAGGAGTTCAAGACCAGCCTGGCCAACATGGTGAAACCCTGTCCCTACAAAAACACAAAAATTAGCCGGGCATGATGGTGGGTGCCTGTAATCCCAGCTACTAGGGGGGCTGAGGCTGGAGAATCGCTTGAACCCAGGAGGCGGGGTTACAGTGAGCCGAGATCTCACCACTGCACTCCAGTCTGGGTGACAGAGACTCCATCTCAAAAAAAAGAAAAAAAGCAAAAAAAAAAAAAAAAAAAAAAAGTGAAGGAACTAAGATCTAGAGAGGCAAGTAACATTTGCCAAGTTCACATGGCAAATGTCACCCATGAATATAATTTTAGTTAATTTGGCTTCAGAAGCTAAGTCTTAACCCATTAGGCTATTTTGATGAGAATGTTCTTGAAGCCGTCAAGGTGGTGCATTTGAGGGCGTATTTCTGTAGTGGCACTTATATAAAATGATCGCTGAGAAATCTCCCAATTTTTATTTTTATGAAACTTGAAATAAAATTGGAGACATATTTCTATTCAATCACAAAAAGTAACTTCAGTAGATTGTGTTTCCATGAAGTAATTAGAGGTCTGTGATAAATTAGCTAGTGAACTATATTTTGTTTATTATTTTCTCTCTAAAGTTTCTTACCTCTGCTCCAATATGGTATGAACTATTGTACACAAGAGCCTATCTGAGAATAATAGCCTCAACCAGACTTGGAATCCATATATCTCATTGCAAACTAGATTGATTTACTAATTGGCTGCCAGTAGTGGGCGGATGTTATTCATTCCTTCGGATGTCCTGACAAATCACCAAAAGTCTGCTGGCTTAAAACAACAGAATATTCTCTCCCACCTTTGGAGGCCAAAAGTCTGAAATCAATTTATCAGTAGGGCCACACTTCCTCCGAAGACTGTGGGAAGGAATCCTTTGCCACTTTCAGCCTCTGGTGGCTGCAGGAGTTTCCTTGGCTTGTGGCCACATCACTTCTCTTTCTGCCTCCATTTTCACCTGGCCTTCTTCTTCTTCTCTGCATCTTATCCTCTTCTCTGTATGCCTCTAGTAACGACACTTACCATGGGCTTTAGAACACACTCCAGTGGTCTCATCTTGAGATCCTTAAATTAGTTACATCTATGGAGACCTTTTCTCCCAAGTCACATCCACAGGTTCTGGGAACTAGAACACGTATATTAGAACACATAAATATATTGTGGTGGGGTGGGGGCTATTATTTTCCAACAGCAGTGGAACATGAAATATGAAATGATCCTTAGATTTCTGTAGACTGAGGACTAGAAGTTGAGTTGGACCATTAATTGAAGGAAGGCAAACAGAAAGAAAGAAGCACAGAGAGATGAAGAAAGAGAGGATGTAATGTGTTTTATTGTGGACCTATTAAGATTGGAATACTAGTGTTTAGTTTGTAGCTCCAGAAAGAGGTCAGGATTGGAAAGAGAGATTTTTGTAACTCCTTATCATTCATCGAAGGTAAAGTCAGGAGAGTGTTTAAGTTTGACTAAGGAGAGATAATAAGTAAGCAAAGTGGGATGAGAAAGAAATGAAAGAGAATATCACAGGGCATTGCTTTCATTAATATAATGCATTATGGCAGAAGAGGGGAGCTATCAAGAGAGACTGAAAAAGAGTGTTCAGTTTGGGGTAGCCAGAAATAATGTATTATGTGAAATACATGGATCATACAAGAGGGGAATCCAGGAAATGCAACAGAGGAAAGGTGAATTCAGGATGATGCCAAATATAAACAGCCTATTTCACAATGGTATCAGAAATCACATCTGTGTATTGCTAAAACCTCACCTCTATCTTCTTTACCCAGTGCTTATTCATTGAATATTAACTGTCAGTTGGATTCCATACCTTTTAATTTCTCTCTAGCTTTTTATTTGGGTCCTAGCATGTGGACCAGAATGCGGTATAATTTTACTCTATAGCAAACTGACCAGTATGATAAATATCTGTGGTTGTCACTGTTAGACCTGACCCATGGTCCCCATAGACCAGAAGGTTCTGAGTGACTGATTTTCTTCTCCCTTTGTGTACGTGAGGATAGTTAGTGATTCTGTCTATTAGACTAAGCAAGTAAATAACCTTGGCCCTTTGGGCCACAAGGATGACAGTGGCAGTAGGCTCAAGTTGCCTCCTGTCATTTTGTTGGCTTTTTTCTTCCCAACTATTGTTTTGTTTGGTTTTGATAAAAGTACAACTTTGAATTTATAGCTTAAGAAAACTTATCTGTATAAACCTTGCACCTAAACCTAGTATTGGCAGTGTTTCTTAAACTTGTATCATTATGGTCCCCCAAACGAGCCTTTTTAGATATTTTCTATTCCTAATTACCATGTACCCATTAGATTTTCATACCAAAGATATATGTACTGTGCTATTTGGAGAAACAAAAACCATGGTAATATAAGAACTTTTTTTTGGTAACCTTCCCCTTTTAAACCAATTTTTTGCCCCTATAAGTAATACCAACCTCCCCAGAAGGCCTGGATTAGGGTCTTCGTGTTAAAGTTCGTTTTAGCATCTGCAATGATGAATGACGTTCTAGTCCACAGAAGCATTATTTGGCTTCAAATTAGGGATTATTTTATGTCAGGGAGAGCATATTTTACTTGCTTTTCCTCCACTGTAGATATGGGCACATTATTAATACAGCTAATGAAAATTTAACTTCATAGATACTTATTGCTGAAGTTAAATTTTTATCACTATTACTTATGATTTAATTTTAATCAAGTGCCACACTGTAGTGGGTGCCTCCTTCAGTCCATGCCTTGACAAGATGTATTGCTCGGGAATGACCTACGTTAGTCATCTACTGGACTTAGTCACACAGAAAGGAAATTCAAAAGCATTCCCACCTATTAATATCAATCTTTACTTTTTTAGCTGTAATCATGGAACCCCATTTGAGACTATATTCTCAGTACATTAATTGAAGATATGTACTGATTTTCCACCCCCCAAACTTGCTTCTTCAAAAGTATTCAGTAAATAAAAACTACTTTTTGGTGTGGTTGCTCAGGTCAGAATTTTTGGAGTTATTCTGTTAGCCTAACTCAGTCTGTACAACCAATTACCAGTAAACCCTGTCAACTCTGCCTTCAAAGCAAAGCCAGAATCTTGCCACTTCTAACCCTCATCATAGCCCAAGTCACAATTGTCTCCCACCTCAATTATCATAAAGCCCTATTTACTGTATGCCTGATTCCATCCTTGCTCTTTACAATCTGATTTCAGCATCACGCCACAGACTCTGTTAAAACTGAATTGATGCCATGTCATCCTTCTGCTCACAACCAACCAATAACTCCCATCTCGTTCAGTGTAAAAGCCGAGTCCTCACCGTGGCCTCTGAGGCCCTGGGTGATGGGTCTTCACTGCATCTTCTTTCCTCCTCCTGCTCACTTGGCTCGGGCCACATGGATCTCTTGGTTCTTTCTTGGATGGTCTAAAACCATTCCCACCTCAAGGCCTCTGTATTATTATTTAATCCTCATGTGTCCTCATGGTTTGTTTTCTCACCTTCTTCTTACCCCAAGTCAAATATCTGCACATTAGTGAGGTCTTCCCTGGCCACCACGTTTTGTAAATAGCCAAAATGAAAATAGAAACCTTTTGGGGATGCCTTGTCCCTTATTCTCTTATTTATTTTTCTCTCAACGTTTGAACTAACAACATGTTACATATTTATAAAATATTCTTCTATCTCCACCCGCCATAAAGTCCTGCTAGGACACAAATTTTATCTTCTTTTTCATTTCTGTATGTCTAATGTCCAGCAAATAGGTGCTCAGAAATATTTCTTGAGTGCAAACCTCCAATTACATTTTCTCATGGATTCTATCTACTACTTAATTTATATGAATTAAATACTGTTTTCAATGAACTTCAAAATCACTCTATCATATGGGATCTAGTGTTTGCTCTCTTCTATTCAAACCCAAATAGCTGTTGCCAGGAGCTGTTGTAGTCAAAAGATATGAGAGTGAGGAAAACAGACAAGGTCTCTGCCCTGTGGCTTACAGTCTTTTGTTCTATTTGCCTCTGTCCCTCTTATATTTTATTAACATTTTTAGTCATTAAGCCTCATCTTAATGTAGTATGTACATCTAATTATCTCATATGGACTAATATCCCAGCATAAATAAAAATACGAATTTTCTTATTAAACATTACTTAATAAACATTTTATATTCAAATGATCAGTAATGACAATTTTGTTTTATAATAATATATCCATATTTGACTTGATAAAATGCATTGTATTATGGAGCAAACGTGCACTTGTGTAATTGGGATCAATTATTTTTGTCAAGCACTGTTAACTGACCTTTCAAAACTTAAACACTGAAGTGGTAAAGATTCGGATTACAGTCATATTTTTATCCTCTCTTGCTATTTATTTCTGATACCTAAACACAGAAAATCATTGCCAGATCCTAGGGTTTTCAGAAGTATGGTTTATTGACAACACAAGCATATGAATTTTTCCCTTTTTATTAAATGTAGAGCTTGATTATAAGTGTACAGGCAGTATCTTCGTTTTTTATTTTTAGTACTATGATATAAGCATTACAATTAAAGCTTCCGTGTTACGAGAATTTTTCTTTCAAGTCAACTGTTTCTGTATAATTATCTCTGAAATCATGAGACAATAGATCATATATGAAATACATATAAGAGTAATATCAAAAAAAGTCAGGTAGCATTCCTCCTTCACTCATTCTGCCACAACCCACCATGTGTGGCCCAGTTTTTTGTGTCTTGAGTTTTCTTGTGAATGTGAATCAAATTCACAATTACACAAGCAGTTATTCACTTTATTTCTGCAAAGCAAAAGTGGAACATAATAGAGAGTACAGTTTGCACTACTTTCAAAGGTACCTGTCCATTACTGGATTTCTCTAACAGTAAAACAGTGTTTTTCATATTTGCATTAAATATCTGGGTTAAAAATTCCTTTCCATACCTTATGTTCACTGTGATGCTTATTTTCTTGCTATTATAATCATATACCTTCTTTGTCTCTTCTTTTACTCTTAAAACAAAATATTAAATAATTGGAAGTATCCCTGCACAAATGGTATCACCTGTAAAAATCTGCCATAATAAAGAGATTTTTAGACGAATAAAAATTGATATTTTAAAAATATGCCATTTAAGAGAAACATCCCACCAAGAATTTAACAAATATATTTATTGTCAGAAAACTTAAACATGTTAAAGTACAACCACCAGATGACATAATCATTTACATAGAAATGACTTCGTTCATTTGGAAAACCCCAAGCAAGAAAATATAAAAATTAATTAGACTCACACTAAATTTTTTCTGTTGTTTTACATGCACATCTTATTTTGCCCAAATCTGGTCATTTAATATAGTAAATGTACTGTTTTAATATTAGAGTCTAGGGGCTAAGAAACCTGAATTACTTCTCTAAAGGTTCTTTTCATGTTGACAGCATAATAAAGCAATGATCCTATTGGTGTAATTAATTTTTAAAGCATTAAAGATTTAAAATTACTCAAGTAAAATAACACAAGAAATGCACTTCCTTTTCCCAGAGTTAAGTCCTGTATTCCTGACTGTAACTTTGTGTTGAATTTAGAAATGTTAGCTTGCCTCGTTAATTACCTCTCCAATGACCACCTATTTGGCTAACCTTAAAGGAAATATTAATTACCTGATCTAATATCTTGCAGGTGCATATTATTAAAGAAGGCTATCACTGTGCTCTACTTTATCTTTGCTGTAGCAAATATCTTACTATTTTGTGTGATATTAAAATGGAGATTTTGCAGTTTTGAAGTTTGCATCTGAGCAAATATTAATAGTGGCATGCTGCTAGAAGCTGTCATGAAATGCACACAAATTGTGTGACTGCTAATCTTTTTGAGACATTACACCACAAGCAGCAAGGCAGATATTGTCTGTTTCTTCATTTTAAGGCATGTTTAAAGGATGTATGTCAATTTTATTGGGAACTGTCCTTGCTTAGGCTCCAGATCAAAGAAAACTTGTTCTCATCCCTAGGTCATTAGGAAAGATTGCTAGAGAAAGTTAAATGTGAATGAGGAATCAACATTTGAGCCAGAACTATGGAGACATTTCAAATGTTAAAAAAAAAAAAAATGATTTAGAATATGTAGGACTTTGATACCAGAAGTTTTAAAAATATTAAGTGGAGATAAATTTATTGGTATGTCAGATTAGTTAGTAGGAAATAAAAAGAAAACTTAAGCAATAAATGAAAGTAAACAAAATAGCTCAAATACATGTACAATTGATTTTATGTAACCTTCTTGATGAACTACATACTAGAATTAATTTGGGGAAGTTTTCAAATAATGCATGAACACGAAAAGAGGCTAACTGGGTCAATGCATACATATACTCAGATATATATGAGTCAGATTATTTGGGGAAAAAACATCCAAAGGGATTCCAAAACAATGATTTAAAAAAAAAAATACACAGCCAGGATTTGGAGTCTTAGTGGGAACCACCTGGGCAGTTTGGGATGAAGGTTAAAGGACTTATTTCGCTCTTCTTTTAGTCTTACCTAAACTTTACTGAAAAGGACATTTACAGTGACAATGGAGGCCCATCTCTTTTATCCCTCTGAACCACTTGAACAGTGGCTCTAATTTCCAGAATCATTCTTAGTGTAGTGATGACACTGGAGATCATGGGCCCCCGGCACAGTGGCCATGAGGTTGGCTGCAGCACTTTTTATCAGCCAGAGGGTCCAGCTGAGGATCAGAGACAGCGTTCCAGGAATGAATACCCAGGGGCCACACATCACAGGCGAAGGCACAACCCTTTGCAGTTACCTACCGAGGTCTTCCTCAGAGCCATCAGCTGAAGCTGGGTGCTCTCTGCATCTCATTGTTCCAAATACTTGCTCTATTAATAGCCTCGAGTGTAGCTCTTTGTTGGAATAAGCTATTGTTAAGCACCTAAAGTAGTATGAAATTGGTGAATAAAAATTTTCCAGGTTTTGAATTTTATTCCCTATAATGCTAAATAAGAGAGATAGTAGCTCACCTAAGATTACAGAGTGGGATATCTGGAAAAGCTATAGACAGGGTTTTCAATGAAAGATAGTTAACTACAATTAAATGGCTATGTTGGTCAGGCAATGGCAAGGCAGACTATACTGTAACACAGAAGCTATGTGCATCGTCTTCACCTCACCCTTGGGACCTGACTTGGCATGGGATGTAATCACTTTCTTAGCCCCAGTATCTTATTTGTTTAAATGTAGGGATCTGAATCAGGTGACGTGTTTAGCTCAACTTGTTAAGATTTTATAATCCTGTTTCCTAGATTATGATCCTATAATCTTATCAGGACTACCAAATAGTTGCTGCCTTCAAAGAATTACCATCTAGTTAGGGAACAAAATTAATACAATAATCAAGAGCTACACTGGATGGCAAATACATTTAGAACAATGAAAATATCAATGTTAATTGTCATAAAATTGAAGAGATCGGAATCAGGAAATTTGAGCTGAGGAGAGAGAAAAGTGTCCCAGGCAGGGGAACAGACATAGGAAGGCTTTTGAAGAGAATGTTAGAACTCTGAGGAAACAAGCCGGATTACAAATAAACTGAAATAAAGGAGTTTAGATTTTATAAAGCAACCTAAAAGAGAAGTTTCTTAAACAAAAAGTAACACATTGAATGCGATATTTCAGAAATAGTAGTCTGACAGTGGCTAAGGATTTATTCATTCAACAAATATTTATTGGATGCAAATTATGTGTCATGCACCCTGCCAAGCACTGGAAATTCAAATATGAAACAAGCAGACACCCATTTTTCACCATAAGGAAGGCCCACAGCCCAGCAGTGGTCAGAAAGAGATGTAATACCCAGTATTTTGGAATAGCACCTAACCTAGCCTGGGAGGCAGGGTAAGAGAAGGCTCCCAGGAGTTAGTGATCTTTGCTTTGAAAGCAGAACAGTTGGAATTAGCCAAGAAAGGCAGGTGATATGCATAGGATGGTTGATGTGGGAGTGTTCCAGAGAGGATAACCGTAAATGCTACATTTCCAAGGAGAAAGGGAGTCAGTGCAGGAAAATAAACTAGGGCACTATGATAATTATTCAAGCCTGGGCTGATAATCGTGTAGGACAAACTGGTAGCAATAAAAAATGAAAGTAAAATACAAATATGAGAGGTATTTCATTATAGTAATAGGTTCCAAATATAGAGAGAGTCAGATACTAAAATTTAAGTAGTTGAAATGTAAATAAATCTTCATAATTTGTTATCCAAATATACCAATAAAAGACACGCAAAATGCCTTTTCTTTTGCCTTTATTTAGCTAATTAATTAATTTTTTTTTTTAAGAGACACGGTCTTGCTTTGTTGCCCAGGCTCCTCTCAAACTCCTGGTTTCAAGTAATCCTCCCTCCTCAGTCTCCCGGGTAGCTAGGATTACAGGTGCAAGCCACTGAGCCTAGCTTTGCCTTTATTTTAATATGCACATAAGGATGAATTGTAGATTGTACAATTCTTACTTGCCATCTTGAAAATATAGAAAAAGCTTTTAATCTGGGCTACTGAATGGATAGAATTTTAGAAATATAATATCCATATTACTTTGTTAACTTATATCTTAGGTCATTGTTGAAATGCCATTTGCCGGAGTTGGAAAGTTCATTTTGGTTTTCTGTATATTTACCTCTTAGATAATTATTTGAAATCACTGATTTCACTTTTGTTATTCTTTGCCTTTCTCATGTCCATATAGCAGATATAAAACAGTTGGCCCTCAGTATCTGCAAGTTCCTCATCCCACAGTTAATCAACTATGGATCAAAAATATTGCAAAAAAATTAAAATAACCACAATAAAAATACTTCAAATTTTAAAACAATATATATGACAATTATTTACATAGCATTTACATTGTATTTTGACATTATAAATAATCCAGAGATAATTTAAAGTATACAGGATGATATGCATAGGTTTTATAAAAGGGACTTACATAGGGTATGGATTTTGGTATGCAGGGGAGGTGTTCTGCAATCAATTCCCCTGAGGACACTGTGGGGCAACTATATAAGTAAATGGGTCCTTTCACATCCTAGGATGAATGCCCCAAGTAAAATATCCTAGATCTTATACATGCCTCTGTTATCTACCTATCAAATGACTACTTCCTAAATCTGGAAAAAGTTTCGTTTAACTCATGAGTTAAACAAAAAAAAAAAGTTCATTTATGGACTTCTGCAGTGAGTTCAAAAACAAAGAAGTTAATTTTAAAAGCTCATTATATTGAGTTAACAGTGAATTAAAAAACCAATGAAATTAATTTTAGAGCCATTTAATTTAGTTCAGGAAAGAGTGAGACTTTTATTAACTTAATTATTTTGGAATTCACTGTTTTAAAGTCCAATAAATGTTATGTATTTTATTTCCAATTAACTTCATTGCGCTTGGAATCATATTTGCTTTCTCCATGTGGCTAAATTTCACCTCTCATTTTGCATATAGGCTGACTGTTCACAAACGGACTCGTCTCCCTGTATTAGATATGAGTATATTGCATCTTGAAAGTGACAGTAGAAACAGGATTTAGCATTTTGTTGACTATTACTTTAGTTACCAGAATTGACTTATTCCTGTACAACAGAAGGGTAGCAAACCAGCAATTTTCTAACTGTGCCTTTTGTCAATGATATAAACTACTGTGTGGTCTTTATCTGTGATATTCTACCTGATCCACTTGCCAAAGTATAGGCATTAGTGTAAAATAAAAATTTAGGAAATTGGGTTGTACAAAGGGGGTCATACGTCAGTTCTTTTCATCAGATTTTAACAAATGAAAATCTAAATGAGACATAATAATTTGATCTATAAAAAATTGTGTTTAACTCTGAATTGTATATAATCCAAAAGGGAGTTTCTACGTTTACTTTTAGAGAGATTTTGGAGGGGATTAAAAGGAACTGCTAAGTGCCTCAGAGTGTGCAGATCTTAAATTTTACATTTACATTTGCCCATCTCCCATTTCTTCATCTATTATATTAAAACGGGGGGGGGAGTTCTTTATATTATGTCCAGTGGAAAAAATAATCTGTTAGCTGACATTTATTCAAAGATTAGCTAAACCTCAAAATCCACATATTATTTTCTTATTTTTGGTCATGTGTTATGTTGTGCCATGTTGTTTTGGGTTAGCAATCATCTGAAAAAACTCAACATCTTTTATCTGCTGATTTGACTTCTGTGTAAAATGAAAAAAAATAAAATTAAAGTTTTACCTCCCTGGTTGAGGCTGAGAATGGGGCTGTCAGACAGGAAGCCTGGTTAGGGCAGCAGCCATGGAAAACTTCTCCACTAATTGGCTGACATTCAGAGCTTGAGGATCAGCAGCTGTTGAAGCAAATTTAGTCTGGATATAAGGCAGATTTTTCATTTATTTCAATTAATTACCACACACATCAAAACCTCTTCTAAAAAATTCTCAAATGAATACCTATAAGGAAGAAAGAATGCTTAGGTATGCATAGACTTTTACTTACTCTTTCAGAGCTTTCAAGATATGACCAACTTGTTTTTACTCATCTAGAAACGTGACCTTTTGTAGAAGTATGAAAATAACATATCTGTACTTCAAAAAGAATTTCAATTTGATTCAAAGGACAAATTGCTAATGGTGAAATATAGGTATTGTAAAGCATATCGAATATGCGGGCAATTGCATGCGTTTAGTGTGTATGTCTCTGTATGTGGAAATAATGCTACTATAAAACAATGGAAAATTGTCACTGCTGCATGCTTATAACAGCTATAAAGCATACAGCATGCATATTGCAATATCTGTGCACTTTACAAAAAGTTCTTTATCTGGAAGTAGTGTAATTCTGTATGATGCAGTGCTCTAATTAGAATAGTGTTGTATTGGACAGAAAAGTAACTAGGCCACCCCAACCTACACACAGTAACTAGTTACTATAGAATGTGTGGTGTGTATCACGTGTGCTTAAAATGTATATGTTTTTCATTTTACTATAACACTTTTCTTTGTGTATACGAATTAAAGGTACTCACTTATTGTGTGCCTAACAGCTGCTTTAAAAGAATACGAGAGGGACATGTTAATGCAATACAAAATCATTTGTGTATACAAAGTTTAGTTTAAGAAAATGGGACTACATTATTATCGCAATTAGATCATTATTTATTGTTGCAATTCCTAAATCAAACTATGTCATATTCTTGTCCAGGCTATTTTTGTGGATTACAAAATAGCTTTATATCATGAAGGTATGAAGAAAATGAATTCCATATTATATGTAAATAAAACACTCAGGGTGTATATGTATGTGGCCACATATTTTAGGTGAAGAAAAATAGAACACTCAAACATTTACCCAAATAATCCAGTATATCTTTGTTCTCTGTTTGAATCCCAGAAAATTCAAAATTACTTCAGTGAGGGAGAAAATTAGGATATTAATAATGACCCCCACCCCCCAAAAATTTTTCTCTTCATAACATTTTTTACTATAAGCCCATTAAAACATTTTTAAATTTTAATATTATTATGCAGCATTTGGGACATACAAAAAATAAAGTGCAATAATACCCATATACCTATTATTCTGCTTAGAAAATCAAATTTTGCCAATAATTCTATCCCCTTTTGAACCCTTTCTATTCATTTCCTCTATCTTCCACTGTGGAACCGAATTAGTTACTACAAAAACATGTTTTAAATGACTAAATTTCATTTTCTTTGAAAATAATGAACCAACTAGCTACATTAAATGGCTAATAAGAAATCTAGATTTTTTCAAATAAGCAAAGTTGAACCATCTTAGTTCCAGAATGTTTTACTTGTACACCTGCAATGCAATAGAAGTCTAACAAAACCCAGCCTCCAGCAATTATTTGTTTATTTATTTATTTTAAGAAGGGAAAGGAGGGGAGAAATATCCCAGGGGTTGCCTGAATTACCTAGGAATATGCTTTCAGTTCCCTCCCCTCAAGTCTTCACAGGGGGGTTCTTGCAAGTGTAGTTCTTTGAAACAATGTTTAGCTAATGACTCAAGAGGACTACTCAGAACCATTGAAGAGCACCTCAAAAACAGATGCTAAATGGACTTTTGTCAGGTTCTACTAGTAGAGCCATCAGCAGCACATCAAGTTGGAATAAATTGAATTGAGATCAACAAAGGAGCATGCTGTTTATGGATGGTATCAAATCAGCTTTCCCTTCCCACTGGAATTCAGAGACAGCATATCATAGGATAGTGAGTATTCCTGGAAATCCAGTGCATTTCCTAAGCTAAAGGAGTGTTTAAGAATTACATGGTGTAGGTTTTATTTCTTTTAAAATTTTATTACTTGAATATAACACAATTATTGTGTTAGTGGATTAATCCTCATCATGATCTCATAATTTGCATTGCCTAAATGAATAATTTATGTTCTAGTAAACAAATCTATAAACAGAGATGTTTTTATTGGGGGTGGTGGTGATGAAACGTGAGCATCTGGCAACCACACCTTGATTCATTTTAGCCCCTAGAGTCGTGGTATGGCGCATTAATTTCTCAGTTTGTAATTTACCAGCTGCATTTAATGGAACCAATTTTCATTACATCTGTTCTATGGTTCAAAGAGCTCTTTTAGTTGCCAAAGGGGGCCAGCGTCACACAGATTCTGAGAGGGGCTAATACACTGTTTCTTGAAGTATTAGATAACCAAGGATGATTCCTAGTTTTACAGCAAACAAATTATTTTGACAGAGGCAAGTTTTATATTCATGACTTAGCCGTTGGTAGATTTCAAATTAAAAGTATAGTGTGCCCTTTTCCCAGGAATTACATATTGATTTTCATGTCATTTTCTTCATAATACCCACTGATCGCCTGTCTTTACAATCAGTGGTAGATTTATTGTTTACTAGTTAAAGGAAACATAATTATGCTTAAGTAAATCCTCTTTGTAAATTACAGGTGGTTAGAAGATGGGTATTTCTTAGGCAAATATGGAATTTATAAATGGTTCTTACATTTATTATAGTAAGCATTATTTACGGACAAGAAAAGGTCATAGCTCTTCATAGTGTATAGTGGGAACATTTTTAATAGTAGAAATGGTTTTGCTTGGGCAACTTAGCATTCTTGGTGTGTAATTTTAATCTCGTAAAAATATGTCACTGTTGTGTAATACCAAATGTAGGATTCCAGTTGAAAGCAACTTTCAATGCAAAGGGTTTTCTCATGGGCAGAAGAGAAATTTGAAATGTTCTACAGTGCTTTGAAGTTCTAAAGCTTCAGCTGGGAGAATTATAAAGCATTAAACCTGAAAAGTTTTCACCTGATGGTCATGAAATAGCATGCCAATATGAAAACTGACTGTTTCACTTCCTCAGGCAATTTTTTTTTCCTTTTCAAGAGTTTCAAAAATATCATGGATCATGTTACATTGAGAAGATCATCTTAGAAAGACTTTATTCGTTTGAAATCATTAAAGTACATAACATAATTATATTTATATATGAAGCTTCAATGACATAATCTGTTTGTACTGGAGTTTCACTGCAGTTGGAAAAGTCGAGTTTGTACCAAAATTAGAGGTAACTTTACGTTTTGTAACCATGTTCAAATTATCATTTATATATCTGTCTAAGAGAAAAATAAGCAGTTTGCCACTATTATAATCCAAATATATAGTTGTATGTTACAACTTACAGCTTACCTAACAAATGTACATGCATCTCACTTGAGTCTCACCTCAAGTTGAATGACCTGGTCCATGTCACAACGGAGGAAGGTGATGAAAATCAAACTCAAGATTTGTGACCCCAAATACCAAACCTTTTCTCTCTAAACTATCCTCTGTTATTACTGACTTATGGTTAGGTTATAATTTCAAATTTTTAATTCTAGCATTGGGAAACACAGGTAAGGCAATATGAATAATTTTCAAACACAATAATTTGGCATTACAAGAATATATTCCTTCCATCAAGCTGAAAATATAATTATGACAACTAGTATTACTAAAGACTACTTACTGGCCCCTGAAAATCCAGCAGGCTTTAACAGTATGGCTACACAAAATGTGAAGACAAAGCCACCGCTTCCTAGGAAACCAGATAAAAATAAGAGATTAGGCATCATTTCAGGGGTATGCTTAGGCAATGCTTGATATCATGTCTGGCTCTCAATGACACAGAGGCATTCTAAAGTCAAAATCATTTGTTCATCCACAAAGAAACAGTTACCGTGTTTCTCTAATCACCAAGTGTTGCATTTATTTGAGTAAATAGAAATCAATAGGGTCTGGGGTCTGTCACCAAGTTCAAGTCTAAGAAGAAATATCAATTGTCTCATGTATGGTACAATATTTAATGAACAAATTCAAACAAGCAAAAACAAAAACACTAATATGAGACAATTTAATCACTGTTAAATGACTATAATTTTAGTGTCTATGAAGACACTTTCATAAACCAATTAAAATATGTATGGAATATCTACTATAAATTAAGTCTAGGTGCTGAATGATAGAGATGTTGTATAGCAATTCGTGATAAGATCCTTGCCCTTAAAGAATTTACTTCTACTTGGGAGGATGAAGTAAGCAAATCTATGACCTGATGAACATCATAGTGGGATTGAACCATTTCTATAAAAATTACAATATAATCATGTATCCTTTTTAATATTTCAGACATATAAAACAGGACATGTCTTCATGTAGAACTTTAATAAGAACTTAATGTCAACTATGTTAAAATGTATCCTACATATAATTTAAAATAAGAAATCTAGAACTCTATATGTAATCATTTTAAGATGCGTGCTTCTCAAATTCTAGCCCTTTTGAAATTTGGATTTATCTTACAAACGGTGGCATCTGAGCATTGTGTCATAGTTTGACAGTTATTATTTTTCTTAGTGATACACAAAGTAATAGTGCATCATAAAATCAATGATAACTTAGAGATGATAAAATAAGAGTTTATAATATAAAAATATACCCCAGGTCACCTAATGTAGGATGAATGTACAATTTTAACTGTTTTTAAAATTCCACATATAGTATTAAAATACCGATCACCTGCTTTTATCACTCTGCTGACCACTTTGTAGATACCATTTTACTTAATCTTCCAAAAATTTCTATGAAACAAATCTTGTTGTTGCTTTATAGATAAGAAAACTGAGGTCAGAGAGCTTAAATTACTTGCCCAAGATTATAAAGGAGACAGGGTATGTTAAACTCATGGGTTTTTTTTTCTATTTAAAATAAAATATTTCAACACATCAACCATAATGAGATGGTTAATTTCATAATTATTTTATTTACCTTCTTAAAATTTGGATTTTTTTGGAAATGATTTAGATGATATAGGTCTCTTTAAAAAGGTTTTTAAGGTGAGTGTGAAATCCTACTTTCTTTTTCTATATCTCAAGGAATTTCTTCTAGTAGGCAGGAATAATCAAAATCACACCACTGACTTCTGAACTCATGAACTTCAGTTACAATAGAGCTGAAAGGTCCTTACAAATCATCTAGTCCACCACCATTAAAAAGCTGATGCTCAACGTGTTTCCATCAAGGTGAACAATGGTTACAGTCATGGCTGGAGCCCTGCCTGGGCACTGGCTATGGGTACTGCTCTATTTCACATGCACGTTGATTGGCACTGGAGTGGGTTATCTCAACTGTCTTTCAAGAAAGAGGTCTTTGGTCAGTACTTGTCACTGATAAAACAATGTTGTTGCTCCTTCTCATTCAAAATTACTTTTACAACAACAGTATGTATGGATACTGCATTTATTTCTTTTGTTTTCTACTTCCTCCTTAGTTCCTTCAAACCAACAAAGCTGCACAGCATTCATCCTATAAAACAACACCAAGAAAGAAATTAAAAAATTCCTTTTACTCTCCTTGTCCATCTCTCATGGCCACAGCCATGGTTCTTCCGACCACTGTATTCAATCTGGCTTCCTGTCCCAGAGTTTTGTGGGTTCCCACAAAACTGCTGGATTCCCAGTATATAAGATGCTAGACTAGGACTTTCATGAAAAGCTTATCCTGGGAAATCTCCCTTCCACCCCTCATTTTGCCATAAATTTTCATTCAAAAATCTATTTAAAACCGTTTATAACAGTTCTTTTCTACACAAAGAGTGCCTCCCACAACCTACCTTTTCATACAGTAGCCCTAATTCTTGTTATACAAAACCCAGAGATGCAAGGCACAGAGACTACCGCAGTATCTCAAATGGCACTTGACAGTGTTTTGACATGCTCTGAGTACTTCACCCTTCATTGAGAAGTCAGGACAATTATAAGGTCATTAGCACCAACATTGCAAAAGAAATGGAAAGGCAAGCCCACCCGTGCCCCAAGCACCCTGGACAAATATATGCCATTGCCTTTGTAGACATAGACAGAAGCGGCTTGAGGAGTCAGGGAGACAAGATACATCACAGAGAATGGAATGGCAAGGACCATCACTCGGTCAGGCAAAGGGAGAGGACAGCTGAAGAGCAGGAGCGGAACCCGGGAGCTCCTGGCACTCATTGCGCTGACCCACGTTTCAGTGGGCTTTTGTTCTTGTTTTTTCCTAGTTTCCTTTAGGCTTGTCTGGTTTTGTTGAGCATCAGAACTGTGATCCCTTACTAATTTGCTTTGCTGAAGTAAAGCTACTTGTATGATTGGAGCCAAAGCAGGAAGCCAGATGCTAGCACACTGATTGCACCTGTCTCCAGCTGGCCCTGCACATTTATCTGTAAAGAAGACCTAGAAATGCCAGACACACACATAAGGAGAAACTTTGATCATATGCTTAAATCTGCACAAATCACTACAAAACATTTATCCTTCTTTGTAATAAGCCTCCGCAAGATTTGCTGAAGGACGAAATAATACAGATATTGACCTGTATTAGTCCACTCTCATGCTGCTAATAAAGACGTACCCAAGACTGGATAATTTATAAAGGAAAGAGGTTTAATTGACTCATGGTTCAGCATGGCTGAGGAGGCCTCGGGAAACTTACAATCACAGCAGAAGGGGAAGCAAACACATCCTTCTTCACATGACGGCAGGAAGGAGAAGTGCTAAGCAAAATGGGGGAAAGCCCCTTATAAAGCCATCAGATCTCGTGAGAACTCACTCGCTATCATGAGAACAACATGAGAGTAGCTGCCCCCATGATTCAGCTACCTCCCACTGGGTCCCTCCCATGGCACATGGGGGTTATGGAAACTACAATTCAAGACGAGATTTGGGTGGGAACACAGCGAAACCATATCAGACCCCTTTACCTCTACCTCAAATATATATATTTAATATATTTTAAAATGCATTTCTACCTATAATATATACATCCCCATAGTCTTTTAAATAATTGTGATGTGAGGGAACTTTTCTAGACACTAAAAAACAATGCTTCAGTTCAACCATCTAAGAAAACCCCAGAACAACAAAAGTAACTTTTCACCCTAGTCTCCAGAGACTTCAGTTTACCTCCTAAACAAAAACCAGCAACATAATTCATCTAATCCTCTTCATGTCAGAAGACAAGGTAGAACACCACTGTAAAGTAATTGCGTGAATATGAACATAGAGAAGTTCCGCTTATGCATTTTTTAGCACCGTTCTTAGAGCAGCCTGAGGTTTTCCCTAGTATGAGCAAGATCAGTCCCGGGGCTGCAGGGGAGCCTCTCTCTGGGCTTTAGGTTGGTCATTTTATTCATAATGAACTGAGGTCCATATTGTCAGCTTTCTAACCCGTCACTTTGGGTATAAGAAATGTAGTTCCTTCTCCCAAAGAAGCAGAAAAAAGAAAAAATTCCTCTGAGTCTTCTAATGTCTTGGCCTTTTTCATTACAAGGAATCGATAGAAGAAAGGAGGCTCTAGAAGTTTCTAAACATTTTGGCGAACAGCAGGACAGTTGTGGGCTGGGTTGTTTTCAGAATCTTTTTTTTTGAATTATTATGTATGGTAAACTAATGATTACATTTATATTTTTTTCCAGGAGTAAAAATACATAAATTAACAGGAGAAATATTCTCTTAAACTATTCTATGGTACTTTTAAACAAGATATAATGTCCCAAAAGGAGCAATGCTTGGAGACTGGTATTCAGGTTTGGTAATTCCCTTTGTTTGATTTTAAGACCCAGGAACACAAGCTAAGACAATGGCGTTTTTCAATTGATTTTGAAATGTACAAGTGTCATAAAAGGAACAAATGGAAATGCATAATAAGCAACACACTGTAGGAATCTGAAAGAGAAAAGAAAATAATCAGTTTCATTACTAGTTAGTTTAAAGCTGTAATTGTTCCAGGGAACAATGGAATCCTAGAACTGCCCTTTTGAAAGGTAACTACATTGTCTTGCTTAAAGGATTCTGAATATTTTGTAGCCCTCAATGTTGATTTCCAAGACAGTACTCAAATTCTGCCTCCCAATATCTTATATAATGCTAATATTATTATAGCTAATAATACCTAATGTTGAGTTATGTTGAGTAAGTGTTCATATAAAAATCAGAGAACTTTCACTAGTATTCTAGAATAATGGAGAAAAAAATTTTTAGAAGCTTCAGGGCGTGACTCATGAGAGAATAATATTTCCCTTGACATCATTATACTGTAACACAGTATATTTACCTTGCAATAAGATGTTTTAATTCATTCAACTTACTTCAATTAAACCTATTGTATGCACTTTACTATTTTAGGTACTGCACATTATGCAAAAGAATTATGAAATGTGATACCTGCTCTTAAGTAACTGACCGTCCTCTCAGTAGAAAAAAATCATATATAGGAAGAATTTAATATTAACATAGTAAATCTTAGATTGTCTGTAATGTACTATAAAAAAATGTGTAAATGGGAGTCAGAAGCTAAAGTTTGTTAGTCCCAGCTCCACTACAACTCTGTAAGTAACATACATTCTCTTGGACTCAGTTTAATTATTGGTAAAATGAAGCAGGTGGATTTGAATGACAGCTAAATGTCCTTTCGGTGATGGCATTTTAAAAATGCCAAAAACCAAAGTATCTAAAAATTTGCATGAAGAGGAAAGAAAGATGAATTCAAAAAAAGAGGACATCAACTTGGGCTGGGATGCTGGGGAGGACTTCATGGAAGAAGGGAGTCAATCTGACTTCTTGGAACAGTGGGGTTAATGTTGCTGCATCCTTTTTCACTGACCCACTGACCATGTGCGCTTGTAGCAGGCAAAGTGGCTGCTGCAATATCTAGATGTTTGAAGGTGTTTCTAAAAGCTTAAGTAGAAAGTAATTAAAGGTGAAAGGTTTTCATGTTTTTAAAAAAGGTGTCCATCTTAGTACTTTGCTTTATTTCCATGACATCATCAAAAGGTGTGTGTAAAAACAGACAATGTTAGGTAAAGATAGGCTGATAGACAACATGTAGAAAAATGTCAGGGCAGAAACACATTTATACTACTAAAAATATTGTTATTGTAAAGTTTATTCGTGTGTGTGCTCAGTTCTTGAAGCCTCTTCTTATCATTTTTATGTAATGTTTTGTTTTGGTTTTTGCTTTGGTTTTTTGTCATGAGTTCCCCAGTATATATTATTCCCACTATATAAGTATAATGCCTTGGAAAATTTCTACGACGTTCTAACCATCAAAACATTGTACGATAAACTACCATCCAAAACAGATGAAGGGTTATACACACTAGTGGACAGGTAGAGCTAACAATCTATTTCTTTGCTCCAAAAGAACAGCCTAAATACTAAGAAACTTTGATAAAGTAGCCAAATCCACCAATCAGTGTGACTGTTGCCAAGACATTTCATGATTTCTTGGGGAAGTCCCTCAAGTCATGACGGGAGCACTTGGTAACTTTATGTTGTTCTTACCGTCCTCTTTGAGGCTCAATGACCTCATATCTGGGAGAGAAGTTTTAAAAAGGCTGCCATTAACAAGAGTCCAGCATCTCCCAGGAGCTTGTTATTATCCTAGAAATATACTTTCCTACTTTCTTTACTCTTTTTACCTTCATAGTACTAAAGTGACAAATATAGTCAAGACACCTGAGGAAAGGCATTGCCTAAAAGAGTGTTAGTTTAAACACACATGCTTGGAAAATCCAAACATACAGGAATAAATATAAGACCCTAGACATATGTATATTTTAAAATATTAATAACCATTTCTACCTTATCAAGAACATTTTATCAAAAATCCAAGGACTATCAATAGATTGGATACTTCAGTTGGTATCTCCAGTTCTTTGAGCAACATTGCATTATGCTCTGCAAAGACAGGGGTGTTTTAAGTATGAAGATATTCTTTAATATAATCCCCTCTCTTTCCTCCTGAGGATTTTCATATTTTCTTATTACTATTTTAAATGTTATTTTCTGTCAATTATTAGTAACTGAAAAAGTACGAGAGCCATTGATTAATTTGAGCATTTTCCCCATTGTAGAAAATAGTTAAATGGATAAAAAATTTCTTGTTCTCTGTTTTAATATCTATGGAGAATATCTCAATGTTTTGGATGTTTTATGTCCCACAGCAATCATTGTTTTAAACTGTTGTTCTCAAAACCACTATTTCTTTTTGTAAAAATTATACTTTACAATTTTATTGCGTATTCAGATTTACATACTACATTCATCTATTAATACTCTGTCTGCATCCATTGATCCTAACATTCTGTGCTTTAGAATATCGTATATTAACTTTTAGGTATTCACATATATCTGTGTAAAATTATTCTATGATGTGATGTAATACTGTAATGTTCAAAAACTTCAACTTTATCACCTCTATTTTTCTAAGGAAATAAGCCATTCTTAATAACACTATGTTCCCCTAAGAAGTCTAGATATTAAGTACATATATATAGATGGATGAATTTAAAACATCTAAATATTAAAGAAATAACTCTGATTTCTAATTTAGAGGAGAGAGAACATTTTTTAAAGGAGAAGTTACAATAATAAGTAAGATAAAAATTACCTTTTTATTTTTTATAAAAGAGAATCTAGTGTTGACTTCCTTTTTCTTCCCTACTTTAGGATAGAAAATTTTCTAGAAAACTTTAAAAACTAATTTTCTAATATACCATAAGAACACTATGCATGGTATGAAAGTGACAGCAAATTGATATCTTGCAGTACTTCCTTTTGACAGTAAGACATGTATAGGATAAGTCAATAGACAGCAAGTATCTTGTTTATAAGCAAATTCTATTTGTTTTGTAAAATGAAAAATATAATTATTGATACCAATTTTTTTTTCTTATCACTAAAACTTTAGCAATGCATATCTTGAGGATAAGTAGTTCTTTTTTTTTTTTTTTCTTTTTTTCAGACAGAGTTTCATTCTTGTTGCCAAGGCTGGAGTGCAATGGCGTGACGTTGGCTCACTGCAACCTCTGCATCCCAGGTTCAAGTGATTCTCCTGCCTCAGCCTCCCGAGTAGCTGGGATTACAGGTGCCTGCCACCATGCCCTGCTAATTTTTGTATTTTTAGTAGAGACGGAGTTTCCCCACGTTGGCCAGGCTGGTCTTGAGCTGCTGACCTCAGGTGATCCACTAGCCTCAGCCTCCTAAAGTGCTGGGATTACAGGCATGAGCCACTGCGCCCAGCCCAAGTAGTTCTTTTTTCTCTGTTATAGAAATAAGTCAAATGCTGTATGTTTAAGACAATAATTTGCATAAAGAAAACATTAGTCAGAGAGGGTTGAGACAAATGCCTAATGTGTTTTCTTGGTTGAAAATAACAATACAGTGAGAAATACACTGAACCATGTGTAGTTTGTATATTTCAACATCTTGCAAAATCAGCTACTCTTTCCATGCACAAATGTTCTACAGCTGATTTTACAAAATAGGCAGCGATGTTTGTCCAAGTACCTGATTCAGCAGCTGCCCACATTTTTTATTATGAAAAATGAGGATTAATTGATGAGGTTGAACTTCCTTCTAAAGAATCATACTTTGAAAATTTAACATCTTTTTTTTGGTTGGCAACTGAGTGTTGCTGAACTTAAATGTTGGTATTTTCAAGTTAAAGAGTAGATGGAGAAGGTAACGTACATCAATTTAAACAAACAAACAAAAAAAACCCCAGGAATCATATGGCTAACTTTTTACTACTTTTTACACCTGCTGTTTACTGTTCTGTTTTCAGTTACGAATTGCAAAATAATTTTAGCAAACTACAAATGTTTGATTTGAAAGTTATTTGACCTTATTTTTCTTCATTGAGGAAAACTGGATACTTTCTATGACAATGATTTGGAAAACAGATAAAATTATTCTATAAACAAAATATTGATGTATTTTAAATCCAATGGATATGTTCTGGGGACTGAAAAGATGACAGAGATTAATTAGATATGAATCTCATTTTCAAGGAAATATTGGACATCAGGAGAAAAGGACATATATTCAAATCACTATTGTTTCTGCAAATAAATTGCATTGTCAGTTTAGGCAACTCATTTCAATTCTGTGATCCGTGATTTCTCTACGTATGAGTCCTTAGAGTTTGCAAATTCTATGATTCTGTGATATTTTTTGAATCTCATAAATGCAAATATATATATATATATATATATATATATATATATATATATATATATATGTAAGAAATATTTTTAAAACTAAAAAAAGTTCCACTAAGTTTTTCTGGGTCCATGTAACTTTTTAAACTTTGCGATAGAACGGTTTTCAAATATACACAAAGATACAGGGGATAGGATGATGAATAGCATATATCTGATAAGCTAGATGTACTACCTATTGTTTCTTTTCCTGAAACATTTTTGTGTAAACGACAGACATCATGACACTTCGCTCCTAAATACTTCATTATGCAATGGTGTATTAGTCTATAAAGAACTGCCTGAGACTGGGTAATTTATAAATGGAAGATGTTTAATTGACTCATAGTTCTGCATGGTTGTGGGGGCCTGAGGAAACTTGCAATCATGGCAGAAGGCAAGGGGGAAGCAGGCACCTTCTTCACAAGGTGGCTGGAGACAGAGAGAGGGCAGGGGAAGCTGCCACTTTTAAACCATCAGATCTCATGAGGACCTCCTCACTGTCATGAGAACAGCATGGGGGAAACCATCCCCACAATCCAATCACCTCCCACCAAGTCCCTCTCTTGACATGTGGGGACTACAATTCCAGATGAAATTTGGGTGGGGACACAGAGCCAAACCATATCATTCTGCTATTTGTTAGTCTATAAAGAACTGCCTGAGACTGGGTAATTTATAAATGGAAGACGTTTAATTGACTCATAGTTCTGCATGGCTCGGGGGGCCTGAGGAAACTTACAATCATGGCAGAAGGCAAGGGGGAAACAGGCATCTTCTTCACAAGGTGGCCGGACAGAGAGAGAGAGAGAGAGGGCAGGGGAAGCTGCCACTTTTAAACCATCAGATCGCATGAAGACCTCTTCACTGTCATGAGAACAGCACGGGGGAAACCATCCCCATGATCCAGTCACCTCCCACCAGCTCCCTCCCTTGACATGTGGGGATTACAATTCAAGATGAAATTTGGGTGGGGATACAGGGCCAAACCGTATCATTCTGCCACTGGCCCCTCCCAAGTTTCATGTCTTTTTCACATTTCAAAACCAACTGTGCCTTTTCAACAGTCCCCCAAAGTCTTAACTCATTCCAGCATTAACTCAAAAGTCTAAGTACAAAGTCTCATCTGAGACAAGGCAAGTTCTTTCTGCCTATGAGCTGGTAAAATAAAAAACAAGTTACTTACTTCCAAGAAACAATGGGGGTTACAAGCATTGGGTAAATGTTCACATTCCACATGGGAGAAATTGACCAAAACAAAGGGGCCCCATGAAAGTTCACAACCCAGTAGGGCGATCATTAGAGCTTAAAATTCCAAAATGATTTCCTTTGTCTCCATGTCTCACATCCAAGGCATGCTGATGCAAAGGATGGGCTCCCAAGGCATTAGGCAGCTCCACTCCTGTGGCTCTGCAGGGCACAGCCCCTGGGGTCACTTTCACAGGCTGGCATTGAGTGCCTGTGGCTTTTCTACATGCACAATGCAAGCTGTCAGTGGATCTACCATTCCGGGGTCTGGAGGACAGTGACCCTCTTCTCACAACTCCATTAGGTGGTGCCCCAGTAAGGAATCTGTGTAGGGGCTCCAACCCCACATTTTCCTTCCACACTGCCCTAGCGGAGGGATATCCAGGCATTTCCATACATGCTCTGAAATCTAGGTGGAGGCTTCCAAGCCTCAATTCCTGACCTCTGGGCACCCACAGGCCCAATACCACATAAAAGCCACCAAGGCTTGGGGCTTGTACCCTTTGAAGGAACAGCAGAGCTGCATTTTGGACCCTTTTAGCCACAGCTGAAACTGGAGCGCCTGGGAAACAGGGCACCAAGTCGCAAGGCTACACACAGCAGCTGGTCCCTGGACCAGCCCATGAAGCCATTTTTCTTCTCCTAGGCCTCCAGGTCTGTGATGGTAGGAGCTGCTGTAAAGATCTCTTACATGTGCTGTGGACATTTTCCTCATTGTCTTGGCTGTTAACATTTGTCTCCTCATTACTTATGAAAATTTCTGCAGCTGGCTTGAATTTCTCCCCAGAAAAATGGGTTTTTGTTTTCTACCACATGAGCAGGCTTCAAATTTTCCAAACTTTTATTCTCTGCTTCCCTTTTAAACATACGTTCCAAATTCAAACCACCTCTTTGTGAATACATATGACTGAACACTTTCAGAAACAGCCAGGTCACATCTTGAATGATTTGCTGCTTAGAAATTTCTTCCACCAGATACCTTAAATCATCTCTCTCAAGTTCAAAATTCTACAGATCTCTAGGGTAGGGGCAAAATTTTGCTACGCTCTTTGCTAGATCATAACATGAGTGACCTTTACTCTAGTTCCCAAAAATTTCCTCATCTCCATCTGGGACCATCTCAGTCTGGACTTCACTGTCCATATCACCATAAGCATTTTGGTCACAACCATTCAAAAGTCTCTAGGAAGTTCTAAACTGCCCTACATCATTCTCTCTTTTTCTGAGCGCTCTAAATTGTTCCAACCTCTGCCCGTTACCCAGTTCCAAAGTCACTTCCACATTTTCAGGTTATCTCAGTACCAATTTCCTGTATTGGTCCATTTTCACACTGCTATAAAGAACTGCCTAAGACTGGTTAATTTATAAAGGAAAGAGGTTTAATTGACTCACAGTTCTGCATGGCTGGGGAGGCCTCAGGAAAGCTACAATTATGGTGGAAGGCAAAGGGGAAGCAGGTGCCTTCTTCACAAGGTGGCCGGAGAGAGAGAGAGAGAGAGAGAGAGAGAGGGAGAGAGGGAGGGAGAAGAGATAGAGAGAGAGACAGCAGGGGAAACTGCCACTTTAAATCATCAGTTCTCATGAGAACTTCCTCACTATCATGAGAACAGCATGGGGAACCATCACCACGATCCAATCCCTCCCACCAGGTCCCTCCCTCGACAAGTGAGGATTACAATTCAAGATGAGACTTGGGTGGGGACACATAGTCAAATCATATAAAATGGCATCACGAATCCATCATCACACCTCACCAAGTTAATAAAGATTTCTTAATACCAGCTGTGAGTGAGTCCATGTTAATAACTACTTAATTGTCCCCAAATATCTCTTACAGAAGGATCCAGTCACTGTCTAGGCATTGCATTTTGGTGTTACATCTTTTTCAGTCTAGACTGGTTTTTCAGCCTCTCTCATGTTGTTTTTTGAATGTCATGGATTATTTTTTCATGATATTCACATGTTCAAGACATAGATATCTTGTACAATAGAATGTCTCATATTATGGATTCAGCCTATAGTTTATTTTTAAAAGTTTTACCTCTTTCTCTAGACTTTTCTATTCATACTGTTCACAGAAGCAACTTTTTGGAATGTTTGCTGGAAAATAGTATTTAATCATGTAGATGTTGATAGTTTTTGCAAATGAATACTGGGTTCAGGGTTACTATAGTTTAAATTCAGGATATATTTGAATACCCCAAACAGCACGAATTAAAATACTTAAAAAGTTATACTATGGTTTCAGTTATATGTGATTGAAAATTGAGCTTCCTTCTATTTAAAATAGCACTCTATGATTTGATTGATATCTTCAGTGTGTAGAGTCACAGAAATAGGAAGCCAAATTATATGGAGTCACCATTCCTGTTTAATTTCTACCTCCTCCTGTTACAATCATAGCAGACTCTGTCGGTGCCTTGCCCTATCCCTCTGATCTTTCAGTACATCACGCACAGTTTTGCACCATTTACCAGAATTTCTCCCACATGATTAAGCTGTTGTCATCCACTGTGGTAGCTGATTTAATGAGTTCCCCTTATTGGCAAGCTTTATTTCCCTGTGTGATTTCCGCAATGCCTTACCAGTGTTCTCACTATTTCCCATATAAACTATTTGGACTCAAATCCTTGTGTCAAATTTTGCTTCTAGAAAAACCCATCTAAGACAACCATCTCTATACCAGACATGGTGACTGTTGGCACAAATCTGAAAGACTAAGATCTGTTTCATCTTCATATTTGCTCATATGCAAGTCAATCTGCAAAGAACACAGTCCCGCGCCCCCTATTCTCTCTCTGAGAAGATATTCATCTTCATTTTTAACATTTAGTTTTTTATATATTATGTATGTATATAAAGAATAATTCCACAAAGCTTGTTAAAAAAAATTGTTCACCTTCACGTCTCCAATCTCCTGCTTTTTAGAAGCAACTATTTTTGATGTTTGCAGTAGATTCTTTTGGGACTTGTTGCAATAACTTTTTTTTTTTTTTTTTTTTTGAGATGGAGTTTCGCTCTGTTGCCCAGACTGGAGTGCAGTGGCATGATCTTGGCTCACTGCAACCTCTGCCTCCTGGGTTCAAGCGATTCTCCTGCCTCAAGCCTCCCAAGTAGCTAGTATTACAGGCGTCCGTCACCACACCTGGCTAATTTTTGTATTTTTAATAGAGACGGGGTTTTACCATGTTGGTCAGGCTGGTCTTGAACTCCTGACCTCATGATCCACCCGCTTCGGCCTCCCAAAGTGCTGGGATTACAGGCGTGAGCCGCCACCATGCCCGGCCAATAACTTTTAATCATATGATTATACTGCTGTTTCTTGATTATTTGATTTTGGGCATTGTCTCTTCAGTTTTCAAAATGGAAGAAGATGATTTAGTGTCTTTCACTGGCATTAATATCACACAGACGCACAAACATTCCTGTTCCACAATTCTTCTAATATAATTATATCATAATTTGGTTAAATACATATATTGTTCACGTTAGTTAAACTATATAAACACTAAGAGTAGAGATGTATTATTAGTATTTTTCTTTTTTCTAGAAAGTTTGGTTTTCTTTTGAAATGGAAAGTTATTCCACATTTTTAAAAATTTCGTTTTATTCAATCAAAAATTTATCTGAACAAAAAACTGCTAAAAGCATGAAAGTACCTGCTGCAGGCTGCAAGAAAATGTTAGCAAAACACATATCTGATAAAGGTTATTGGACTGGCATCCAAAGTACACACACAAAAGAACCTTTTAAAACTTAACAATAAGAAAACAACAACCCAATTAACAAATGGGTAAAATACCTGAACAGACACCTCACCAAAGAAGATATACGCTGATGGCAAATACCCATTTGAAGACAAGCTTAACATAATAGGTCATGAGGGAATTGGGAGTTAAAACAGCAAGAAGATGCCACTACATACGTAGTAGAATGACTAAAATTCAAACATTCACACCACCAAATGCTGGCAAGGATGTGGAGCGGCAGGAAGTCTCATTTGTTATTGGTGGGAATGCAAAATAGTATGGTTTGCAGTTTCTTACAAAACTAAACATACTCTAACCATATAAAAATTTGGTTAATTTTCTATTTACATATCATTAATTCAACCTCAAACTCTCCCCCACTGGGTAAATTTCTCTCATTGTGCTCTAATAATAAGATGTTCTGTCACTTTCATCTTGAAGAAATCTATCTCACCACATTCTCAGACCTGATTGACAGTTTGAGTGTGTATAGAATCTGGGTTAGAAATAATATTTTTCCCCAAAACTTTCAAGATTTTGCTCCAATCTTTTTTTTTAATTCTCTTTGAAAGTTTATAGGACCTTCTTTGTTTTTTCCTGGTTTTCTGAAATTTTGACATTTCATAATGATGAATCAAATGGTCATGAATCTATTACTATGCATTGTGTTGAGCATGCGTAAGGTACTTCAGTCTGTAAAATCACATTCTTTAGTTTGATAGAAATTGTTTGAATTTATCCTTTGAAAACTCCCCCATCTCAATTTTCTTAAGTCTTCCTTTATGAAATTCTTATTCTTTGGATGGTGTGCCTCCTAAATAAGTCCTCTAAATGGTTTTATTTTTTTTTTATTATACTTTAAGTTTTAGGGTACATGTGCACATTGTGCAGGTTAGTTACATATGTATACATGTGCCATGCTGGTGCGCTGCACCCACTAACTCGTCATCTAGCCTTAGGTATATCTCCCAATGCTATCCCTCCCCCCTCCCCCCACCCCACCACAGTCCCCAGAGTGTGATATTCCCCTTCATGTGTCCATGTGATCTCATTGTTCAATTCCCACCTATGAGTGAGAATATACGGTGTTTGGTTTTTTGTTCTTGTGATAGTTTACTGAGAATGATGATTTCCAATTTCATCCATGTCCCTACAAAGGACATGAACTCATCATTTTTTATGGCTGCATAGTATTCCATGGTGTATATGTGCCACATTTTCTTAATCCAGTCTATCATTGTTGGACATTTGGGTTGGTTCCAAGTCTTCGCTATTGTGAATAATGCTGCAATAAACATACGTGTGCATGTGTCTTTATAGCAGCATGATTTATAGTCATTTGGGTATATACCCAGTAATGGGATGGCTGGGTCAAATGGTATTTCTAGTTCTAGATCCCTGAGGAATCGCCACACTGACTTCCACAATGGTTGAACTAGTTTACAGTCCCAGCAACAGTGTAAAAGTGTTCCTATTTCTCCACATCCTCTCCAGCACCTGTTGTTTCCTGACTTTTTAATGATTGCCATTCTAACTGGTGTGAGATGATATCTCATAGTGGTTTTGATTTGCATTTCTCTGATGGCCAGTGATGATGAGCATTTTTTCATGTGTTTTTTGGCTGCATAAATGTCTTCTTTTGAGAAGTGTCTGTTCATGTCCTTCGCCCACTTTTTGATGGGGTTGTTTGTTTTTTTCTTGTAAATTTGTTTGAGTTCATTGTAGATTCTGGATATTAGCCCTTTGTCAGATGAGTAGGTTGCAAAAATTTTCTCCCATTCTGTAGGTTGCCTGTTCACTCTGCTGGTAGTTTCTTTTGCTGTGCAGAAGCTCTTTAGTTTAATGAGATCCGATTTGTCAATTTTGGCTTTTGTTGCCATTGCTTTTGGTGTTTTAGACATGAAGTCCTTGCCCATGCCTATGTCCTGAATGGTAATGCCTAGGTTTTCTTCTAGGGTTTTTATGGTTTTAGGTCTAACGTTTAAGTCTTTAATCCATCTTGAATTGATTTTTGTATAAGGTGTAAGGAAGGGATCCAGTTTCAGCTTTCTACATATGGCTAGCCAGTTTTCCCAGCACCATTTATTAAATAGGGAATCCTTTCCCCATTGCTTGTTTTCCTCAGGTTTGACAAAGATCAGATAGTTGTAGGTATGCGGTGTTATTTCTGAGGGCTCTGTTCTGTTCCATTGATCTATATCTCTGTTTTGGTACCAGTACCATGCTGTTTTGGTTACTGTAGCCTTGTAGTATAGTTTGAAGTCAGGTAGTGTGATGCCTCCAGCTTTGTTCTTTTGGCTTAGGATTCACTTGGCAGTGCGGCCTCTTTTTTGGTTCCATATGAACTTTAAAGTAGTCTTTTCCAATTCTGTGAAGAAAGTCATTGGTAGCTTGATGGGGATGGCATTGAATCTGTAAATTACCTTGGGCAGTATGGCCATTTTCACGATATTGATTCTTCCTACCCATGAGCATGGAATGTTCTTTCATTTGTTTGTATCCTCTTTTATTTCCTTGAGCAGTGGTTTGTAGTTCTCCTTGAAGAGGTCCTTCACATCCCTTGTAAGTTGGATTCCTGGGTATTTTATTCTCTTTGAAGCAATTGTGAATGGGAATTCACTCATTATTTGGCTCTCTGTTTGTCTGTTGTTGGTGTATAAGAATGCTTGTGATTTTTGTACATTGATTTTGTATCCTGAGACTTTGCTGAAGTTGCTTATCAGCTTAAGGAGATTTTGGGCTGAGACGATGGGGTTTTCTAGATAAACAATCATGTCATCTGCAAACAGGGACAATTTGACTTCCTCTTTTCCTAATTGAATACCCTTTATTTCCTTCTCCTGCCTGATTGCCCTGGCCAGAACTTCCAACACTATGTTGAATAGGAGCGGTGAGAGAAGGCATCCCTGTCTTGTGCCAGTTTTCAAAGGGAATGCTTCCAGTTTTTGCCCATTCAGTATGATATTGGCTGTGGGTTTGTCATAGATAGCTCTTATTATTTTGAAATACGTCCCATCAACACCTAATTTATTGAGAGTTTTTAGCATGAAGGTTGTTGAATTTTGTCAAAGGCTTTTTCTGCATCTATTGAGATAATCATATGGTTTTTGTGTTTAGCTCTGTTTATATGCTGGATTACGTTTATTGATTTGCATATATTGAACCAGCCTTGCAACCCAGGGATGAAGCCCACTTGATCATGGTGGATAAGCTTTTTGATGTGCTGCTGGATTCGGTTTGCCAGTATTTTATTGAGGATTTTTGCATCAATGTTCATCAAGGATATTGGTCTAAAATTCTCTTTTTTGATTGTATCTCTGCCCGGCTTTGGTATCAGAATGATGCTGGCCTCATAAAATGAGTTAGGGAGCATTCCCTCTTTTTCTGTTGATTGGAATAGTTTCAGAAGGGATGGTACCAGTTCCTCCTTGTACCTCTGGTAGAATTCGGCTGTGAATCCATCTGGTCCTGGACTCTTTTTGGTTGGTAAACTATTGATTATTGCCACAATTTCAGCTCCTATTATTGGTCTATTCAGAGATTCAACTTCTTCCTGGTTTAGTCTTGGGAGAGTGTATGTGTCGAGGAATGTATCCATTTCTTCTAGATTTTCTAGTTTATTTGCGTAGAGGTGTTTGTAGTATTCTCTGATGGTAGTTTGTATTTCTGTGGGATCAGTGGTGATATCCCCTTTATCATTTTTTATTGTGTCTATTTGATTCTTCTCTCTTTTTTTCTTTATTAGTCTTGCTAGTGGTCTATCAATTTTGTTGATCCTTTCAAAAAACCAGCTCCTGGATTCATTGATTTTTTGAAGGGTTTTTTGTGTCTCTATTTCCTTCAGTTCTGCTCTGATTTTAGTTATTTCCTGCCTTCTGCTAGCTTTTGAATGTGTTTGCTCTTGCTTTTCTAGTTCTTTTAATTGTGATGTTAGGGTGTCAATTTTGGATCTTTCCTGCTTTCTCTTGTGGGCATTTAGTGCTACAAATTTCCCTCTACACACTGCTTTGAATGCGTCCCAGAGATTCTGGTATGTTGTGTGTTTGTTCTCGTTGGTTTCAAAGAACATCTTTATTTCTGCCTTCATTTCGTTATGTACCCAGTAGTCATTCAGGAGCAGGTTGTTCAGTTTCCATGTAGTTGAGCAGCTTTGAGTGAGATTCTTAATCCTGAGTTCTAGTTTGATTGCACTGTGGTCTGAGAGATAGTTTGTGATAATTTCTGTTCTTTTACATTTGCTGAGGAGAGCTTTACTTCCAACTATATGGTCAATTTTGGAATAGGTGTGGTGTGGTGCTGAAAAAAATGTATATTCTGTTGATTTGGGGTGGAGAGTTCTGTAGATGTCTATTAGGTCCGCTTGGTGCAGAGCTGAGTTCAATTCCTGGGTATCCTTGTTGACTTTCTGTCTCGTTGATCTGTCTAATGTTGACAGTGGGGTGTTAAAGTCTCCCATTATTAATGTGTGGGAGTCTAAGTCTCTTTGTAGGTCACTCAGGACTTGCTTTATGAATCTGGGTGCTCCTGTATTGGGTGCATATATATTTAGGATAGTTAGCTCCTCTTGTTGAATTGATCCCTTTACCATTATGTAATGGCCTTCTTTGTCTCTTTTGATCTTTGTTGGTTTAAAGTCTGTTTTATCAGAGACTAGGATTGCAACCCCTGCCTTTTTTTGTTTTCCATTTGCTTGGTAGATCTTCCTCCATCCTTTTATTTTGAGCCTATGTGTGTCTCTGCATGTGAGATGGGTTTCCTGAATACAGCACACTGATGGGTCTTGACTCTATCCAACTTGCCAGTCTGTGTCTTTTAATTGGAGAATTTTGTCCATTTACATTTAAAGTTAATATTGTTATGTGTGAATTTGATCCTGTCATTATGATGTTAGCTGGTGATTTTGCTCGTTAGTTGATGCAGTTTCTTCCTAGTCTGGATGGTCTTTACATTTTGGCATGATTTTGCAGCAGCTGGTACTAGTTGTTCCTTTCCATGTGTAGTGCTTCCTTCAGGAGCTCTTTTAGGGCAGGCCTGGTGGTGACAAAATCTCTCAGCATTTGCTTGTCTGTAAAGTATTTGATTTCTCCTTCACTTACGAAGCTTAGTTTGGCTGGATATGAAATTCTGGGTTGAAAATTCTTTTCTTTAAGAATGTTGAATATTGGCCCCCACTCTCTTCTGGCTTGTAGGGTTTCTGCCCAGAGATCCGCTGTTAGTCTGATGGGCTTCCCTTTGAGGGTAACCCGGCCTTTCTCTCTGGCTGCCCTTAACATTTTTTCCTTCATTTCAACTTTGGTGAATCTGACAATTATGTGTCTTGGAGTTGCTCTTCTCGAGGAGTATCTTTGTGGCGTTCTCTGTATTTCCTGAACCTGAACGTTGGCCTGCCTTGCTAGATTGGGGAAGTTCTCCTGGATAATATCCTGTAGAGTGTTTTCCAACTTGGTTCCATTCTCCGCATCACTTTCAGGTACACCAATCAGACGTAGATTTGGTCTTTTCACATAGTCCCATATTTCTTGGAGGCTTTGCTCATTTCTTTTTATTCTTTTTTCTCTAAACTTCCCTTCTCGCTTCATTTCATTCATTTCATCTTCCATTGCTGATACCCTTTCTTCCAGTTGATCGCATCGGCTCCTGAGGCTTCTGCATTCTTCACGTAGTTCTCGAGCCTTGGTTTTCAGCTCCATCAGCTCCTTTAAGCACTTCTCTGTATTGGTTATTCTAGTTATACATTCTTCTAAATTTTTTTCAAAGTTTTCAACTTCTTTGCCTTTGGTTTGAATGTCCTCCCATAGCTCAGAGTAATTTGATCATCTGAAGCCTTCTTCTCTCAGCTCGTCAAAATCATTCTCCATCCAGCTTTGTTCCGTTGCTGGTGAGGAACTGCGTTCCTTTGGAGGAGGAGAGGCGCTCTGCGTTTTAGAGTTTCCAGTTTTTCTGTTCCGTTTTTTCCCCATCTGTGTGGTTTTATCTACTTTTGGTCTTTGATGATGGTGATGTACAGATGGGTTTTCGGTGTGGATGTCCTTTCTGTTTGTTAGTTTTCCTTCTAACAGACAGGACCCTCAGCTGCAGGTCTGTTGGAATACCCTGCCGTGTGAGGTGTCAGTGTGCCCCTGCTGGGGGGTGCCTCCCAGTTAGGCTGCTCGGGGGTCAGGGGTCAGGGACCCACTTGAGGAGGCAGTCTGCCCATTCTCAGATCTCCAGCTGTGTGCTGGGAGAACCACTGCTCTCTTCAAAGCTGTCAGACAGGGACATTTAAGTCTGCAGAGGTTACTGCTGTCTTTTTGTTTGTCTGTGCCCTGCCCCCAGAGGTGGAGCCTACAGAGGCAGGCAGGCCTCCTTGAGCTATGGTGGGCTCCACCCAGTTCGAGCTTCCTGGCTGCTTTGTTTACCTAAGCAAGCCTGGGCAATGGTGGGCGCCCCTCCCCCAGCCTCGCTGCCGCCTTGCAGTTTGATCTCAGACTGCTGTGCTAGCAATCAGCGAGACTCCGTGGGCGTAGGACCCTCCCAGCCAGGTGCGGGATATAGTCTCGTGGTGCGCCGTTTTTTAAGCCGGTCTGAAAAGCGCAATATTCGGGTGGGAGTGACCCGATTTTCCAGGTGCGTCCGTCACCCCTTTCTTTGACTCGGAAAGGGAACTCCCTGACCCCTTGCGCTTCCCAGGTGAGGCAATGCCTCGCCCTGCTTCGGCTCGCGCACGGTGCGCGCACCCACTGGCCTGCGCCCACTGTCTGGCACTCCCTAGTGAGATGAACCCGGTACCTCAGATGGAAATGCAGAAATCACCCGTCTTCTGCATCGCTCACGCTGGGAGCTGTAGACCGGAGCTGTTCCTATTCGGCCATCTTGGCTCCTCCCTCAAATGTTTTTTTTTTAATCATTTATATTTTGTCTCCATTTTCCCATCTCTTGTCTTTTCAACTTTCTTATAACATTTTGTTTGCCAAGACTCCTCCTACCTTGTACATTCAATTTCAAAGCAATTTTAAAATGTCTGTGTTTTTCTTTTTTATAATATTCTATTCTTTTGTCACAAGTGCATATATTTTCTTGTTCCTCTGAAGCTACTGTTGTTAATTGATGGGTCTTGTTTTCTTTTTTTCTTGCATGACTTCTAGTATGCTGGCTTTCTTGTTTTCGTCTTTGCCTTTCATTTTACATATTCTCCTCAAAGACTAGAAACCTTTGCCATCAACTTATACCTACAAATGTAGAAAGGAAGAACTGTATGCAAGCTCTCTGTGCTTCGGTAGGTGTGTTTGCTGTGGTTCCCACACTGGGTTGGCCTGACTGAGCAGTTCCTTGGGAGAACCCCCAGAGTCAGTGTATTTTCTCTAGGGCTGGCCAGATTCACCAGAGAAGGTTCTTTCAGTGTCCTGCCTGGAAATTTAAAGTCTTGCTGCCAGCATACTGAGTTAAGTGAGTTTAAAAAATTGGAATTTCACTCAACATTCATCGTGTAGACATGTATTTCCAATATGTGATCTCCTTTCTCAATCACCCTAGCGTTTTGTCATCTCCGGAGATGAAACCTCCATTCCTGGGGTGCTAGAGAAAAATGAAAGGAAGTAACGTGGTTGTAGGCCAGGATCTGCAGGCCTAACTGCTACTTAAGCAGATTTCAGCCAATGCTCTGTGTACCAACTCCAGGGCTACTTGGTGCGGCCAATACATGTGCCCTCTGGTGACTCCATGGTATAAATCAGGCCACTTCCAAGCTTTCTCCACTGCTGATGGAAGATCCAGCCTTCCCAGGTCTGCTAAGTCAGTTACCAATTATCTCAATCTATGTGAGTTTATGAACAAAACAGTCAATTTTTCTTACTTCAGTTGTAAATGCCTGTAGCTAATTCTCCATCCCAAACCGGAATGGCTTCTACATAACTGTAAGAAAGTTTAACCTGCCAAATTCTCTGGTAGGTCGTTCCTGCCATCACCCGCTTCCACTTCATCCTCTTCTGTATGGTGGAGAATCCTGGGCATCCCTGAATCTAACTTAATGCTTTCCAAACCACATGTCAACTATTGCTTTGTGTATGTGTCTTTATCCCCAGTGAATACATACACCTGGAGATGAAGATCAGAGATTGTCTTTTTGCTTAGCCAATGTTCAGCTCATGGCAAGCCTCTATTATGTTTATTGAACACATTGATGAATGAATGAAGTTTTAAGAAATTGAGCAAGGGGCTAAAATGAGAAGGGGGATTCAGCTATATTTTAACTCTTAGAACTCACTAATAAAATTTGTCTTACTGGCTTAGTTATGGATGGTTTCACCAGTAGGTAGATGAAAACAGTGGGAATGGAGGGATAAAGAATTCAGTAGCTTGTTATCTGCTTGTGCTAATGAAAGTAAATACAAAGCCAGAGCACTTTCTGGATTGTTTTGTGAGGCCATAAGTTGCTGCATCTATGTCATCTTGCTAAATTTTATTTTTTACTTTTTCTGATCCCCCCATCCTGGCAGAAAAATGCCTGAAAGAAGAGTTGCCAAATTGCGATGTCTATTTCATAGTTGACTATTCCTCGTCAATAATAACATTTTATTTGTTTTAACTAAAGTTCCAAGAAAAATGTGCAGAACCTGTAACATGTTATTGCTTGAAGGTTAAAGAATATGTTCACTTCATAACCTTGAAATAATGTGCTCTGTTTTCGTATTCACCCTATCAGAGCAGAATCTGTCTCCTGAACATCTATGAAAGGAAACTCCCCTAGGAAAAATATTTCATAAATATCTGACCACACTAAACTTGATCTTTGATGTTTCAACTTCACAGGGAGCTGCTTTTGGTGATGGAGGTGTCAGAAAATTTGTAGTCAAGGTTTTCAGATTGTTCATTTGAGTTATACCAGTTCACCACTTTTAGTCTTCATGTAACAGAAGCACTCCACTTTTGGTACTAATTCTGGGAGGTATCCTTACCTGCTAAGCAGAGATAAAGGAAAAAAAATAATCTAGGCTTTTCTTCATGAGAGCAGCACCTTTTTTAGTTGATTCTGCTCAGGAAGAATAAAGTCAGGACACAGTTAGACAAAATGCCTCTGCCCAGGCTGTAAATTTTCCAGGGAAAAATTTTGCCTGGCATGACTCCAGGTTGTGGCTTAGAACATTCTGTGTGCACTCTGAATGCTCCCAGAAAGGGACTCTTGATTTGGGAACTCTGGGAACAAAGTAATTATTATGGAATAAGCAATTACACTTAAGATAAATTATATAAAGATTTACTAAACAATAAAAGTAGTGTTGCAACTAATGTGGATTCTTCAACAAGACCGTGATTGTGTCTCTCCCAGGAGTAGCTCAACTCTTGGTCTTACACTTGAATCCTTTGTCTTCCCCTTTGATTATTTTGTCTATTTCTTGATCCCTGAAAGCCACTGATGTCTGATCGGATTTCAAGGGTAAATAGTAATAATAATAATAATAAGTGCTCTGGAGGTGTTTGCTTCTCCCACCTCTGTTCTCTGGTCAGGGGTCACCGGGACTTGCTTTTTCTTCTCTAAACTCTGCCTGGTCAAACACCCCAGACACTGTCTTGTGTCCTTCCTATCAGCTCTCTTCCCACACTGTGTTTTTATTCTGTTGTTCCTACGGTCTTTTTATTTCATCTTTAATAGACTTAAAAAAACATTCTTAATTACAATTCAAATTTTCTGTAGGATGAAAGATAATACCAATTTACTTTGAAAGAGTATTTGTTCCATACAAGACTCTGTGGAAAGCACTTTACAAACGTGATCTTAAAATATTTCCAAAATAATCCTGGGTGCAAAGGTTGTTTCTTATTTTATAAATGGGAAAAAAAAAATGAGATTCAGCAGTTAAGTCTATTCCTCAAGGTTATACAGCTAGAAAGCTCAGGAGCTGGAATTTGACCCTAACTCCACTAAACTTCCAAGTCCTTGATGTTAGATATTTAAGGAAAAAAAAAAGTGAAGGTTACCTATAATTCCATAATCTGAAAAAAACTATTTTCTAGGATATTTCTGTTTTGCTGTTTTGTTTACTATAGTGTGCATAAATGCGTGCTTATTTATGTCAGTTTATACATGCTCACACATTTATTTAAATAAAGGTCTTTCATTATATATATTTAATAGAATAATTCTATGTCCACTTTTTCATTTGTAACAATTGTGAAACATTTGCATGTTATTATTTCTGAAAATAAAATGTGTCCATTTAAAATTTGTGAAAATAAAATGTGTCCATTTAAAATACCATCTTTAAGGCTACATAATATCTACTATTCAGAAATACCATATTTTAAACACTTTTTGACTGATATTTATGATTTTTCTAATGTTTCATTATGAAAGATGGTGGCGGTGTGGACATTTGCTTTAATCTTCTAAGGACATACCTTAGCCTACCCTCCAGGAGTCCTCCTTGGCTATGTTCCAGCCAAAATGGCCAGTTTTCCCTCGTATTAATTTCCCTGTCCATCTTATCTCACTGGTGAGACTGGCCCAATATATTCAGCCTGTTCTAAAGCTGATCGATCTTTATAAATGCATACGGAGAAAAAGACTAGCTCCACGCACAGTGACATTAGAAAGACTGCTCCCCCAGTAGACAAACACGCTTCTCTCTGTCTGCCCTCTGCTATTTTTTCACCCTCATTTCAGTTAGGCAATTGCAGCCGGGGAGGCCTGGGCTTTTCTTATGTTTGAGCACATCATTAATCGGGCTCTCACTCACTCACTCATGTGTGAAGTGGACTCTCGTGGACAATGATCAACTGCTCAGCCCCTGAAATTTCTTGTTTGCCGCTGGTCCCTAGAATCCACTTCAGAGCAGATTCTACCTGTATATTCTTTTACAAAAATGTGGATGATAAGATTAAATCAGAAATTATTCTGAAGCTTGAAAAGATTCAAGTCCTAAGATACCTGTAAATACTTTACTATTTTAAAGGTATAGTCCTAGCCCAAAGTGTAGATTTAGTTACTTCTTAAAATTATTTTGAAAAATTAAAAATGTCACCAGTGTCAGGTAAACAAGACTAATTGGAGGGAAAAAAATCCTTATAATATTTTCATAAGATTTATACTGAACTCCTTATTCTCATTTTTATGACATTTAGGTCTCTGGCAAAGCTTCAGAAATTTGAACATACTTACACTTTTGTAAACTGCCTGACTGTAATTCTTCAAACAGAATTGTGGAATGTTTCCTCTCAGAGCACCCAAGGAATATTCTGGTTTGGTACGTTACTTTTTTTTTTTTTTTGCCTGAAGTGCAGGGGTGCAATCTCGGCTCACTGCAACCTCTGCCTCCTGGGTTCAAGCGATTCTCCCAACTCAGCCTCCCAAGTAGCTGGGATTACAGCTGCCTGCCACCACGCCCAGCTAATTTTTGTATTTTTAGTAGAAACGGGGTTTCACGCTGTTGGTAGGCTGGTCTCGAACTCCTGACCTCAGGTGATCCACCTGCCTTGGCCTCCCAAAGTGCTGGGATTACAGGCATGAGCCACCGTGCCCAGCTGGTTTGGTACATTTCTAAGTTCTCTGACTATTACATTTAACTTCCTTATTCCTTATTTAGAATGTTTGTCTTGATACCGTGAGCAACAAGGAAAGATAATATTTGCATCCCAATATAAAAAAGTATTTTATTTCCTTCATGTTCAAATATATTTGAAAGGTGACAGTTTTCTTAGTAGTGGGTGTTTGCTCCTTCGGTTTATAACTTCATTAATTTATTGTTAGTATCGATCCCTGTCAACTTCATACCCGATAAAAGTGGAGCTACTACATATAGGTCTGTTGAATGAAAGAGCATTTATTAATAATGATAATCATTCATTATTCACAATACTTCCTGATCAGCATGTGCTTCTCTGTGTGCTTTGCGTACTTATATCTTTTTTATTTAAAACAGTATTTTTCAGAGATGGGGTCTTACTATGTTGTCCAGTCTAGTCTCAAACTTTTGTGCTCAAGCAACCCTCCAGCCTCGGCCTCCCACATAGCTGGGACTACATGCATAAGCAACCACACCTGGCTACGTACTTATCTTTAATCTTCCTAACAGCCCTTCTAAGTCATGAGTTGATTTTGCAAAACCAAAACAGAGCCAGGGAGGTTAAATGAATCGTCAAGTGTTGCCTGGTTTAGAAGAGACAGAACTATGATTTGAACCCTAAATGCAGACTAACAGTTTGTGTTCTTTCCCTAACTTTCTCCAGACTGATGTAAATTATTACCTGAAAGTTTAAATGCAAAAATAAGCACAATGCTCTTACCAAAAATGCACTGTAGACATCAATAAAATTAGTAAACTCGAAGTACAAGTGCCAGTTCCTGCTGGGAATCCATTCATTCATTCCACATATTATTTACTGAGCATCTATTATGGGCCAGGCACTGTGCTGGTTGCTAAAAATATAATGGGGAGAACAAGAAGGCATGGTCCCTAACCTCATGGGAATAAATGTATAGTGTATAGATAGTGCTGCGATTCCCACATAACTTCTGTAATCTCTGTCCTTGTAATCTGAGGTCACATTAATAAACAGGAGTATACCTACCAGAAACTGCTGGGGTTTCCTCATTTCCTACGGTCTATGCTCCAGCTAAGTGCTCCCAATGACGGCATTGATTCTCATTCCTGGACAAAAAATTAGAATTCACTAGAAATATTTTTAAATGTTTGTACTCAGCACCACCCCTCCTTTTCTACTCCATCCTGGTCATGACTTCGTTTTTGTAGGGTATGTCCCAGGCTTCAGTACTATTTAAATATTTCTCAGTGACTTCTATAAGCAGCAATGGTTGAGGATGCTCTTGGCATCCTTAGTAAGCTATGTTGCTTATAATTTCCCATCAGGAATCTATAAAACTCTGTGACTGCCGCAGAAATGTAGCTTAGGATACAAGCCCTGTCCACTGCAGCAGGCCTATTTCTGTGGCCCATTTTTTCTAAGTTCCTGAACCATTGTTCACACTTCCTGTCCTGACTTTTCTTCACGGATTCCGGGTCTGAGTTGCCCTTCTGACTTGATGTTTTCTCCTTCTTTTCAGAATCTGTCATTGCTGAGTATGCAGATGTGATTCTGACTTTCAAAATGAGCTTGTGGTTCTCATCTGGACTGACCACATGCTTGATGCCACCATCTTCCTGGTGCTGTCCCTAACCCCAGTCCTTACTGGTCCCACATTCTCTGATTTAGTAGCTAGGCAGTCTCTAGCTCAATGACCAAATGATCTGAGGCTATTTAAGATTTACTCTCTTAGCAAATTCAGTATACAAAGCAGTGTTATTAACTAGAGTCACTATGCTGTACATGAGATCCTCAGATCCTATCTTTTATTAGGCTGGTGCAAAAGTAATTGAGGTTTTTGCTTTGAAAGTACTGAAGCCTGGGTTTCACCCTTCAAAAGCTAAGGCATGACCTGGGTGGGGTAGGGAAGGAGGGGCAGTGCTGAATGCAAACGTTTAAAAAATATTTCTAATGGATTCTAATTTTTTATCCAGGAATGAGAGTCAGTGCAGTCATTGGGAGCACTTAGCTGGAGCATAGGCTATAGCTGAAGGTTTGTACCCTTTGAATGTTCTCACCACAAAAATAAAACAAACAATCAAAAAAAGGTAACTAGGTGAGATGTTGTTGACTAGCTGATTGTGGTAACCATTTTATGATTACACATACGTCAAATCATCACATTGTGCATTTTAAATACATACACTTTTATTTGTCAATTAAACCTCAAGGAGGCTGAAAAAAAAAAGAAATACTAAGATATTAAATTAAGCAAGCAAACAAAAAATATCAGAGGCTTACATAGACAATCAGTCTACCACCCTCTCTCTTTTCAATTTCTCACCAAGACCACACAAGGAGGGACGAGCTTTCCTCTGTCCTGCCCACACCCATGGTCTGCCTTTCTCTTTTACAACTTTTCCTTTTAAGAGAACACCTGTAATCCCAGCACTTTGGGAGGCCGACCAAGGTGGGCGGATCACGAGGTCAGGAGATCAAGACCATCCTGGCTAACATGGTGAAACCCCGTCTCTACTAAAAATACAAAAAATTAGATGAGGCAGGAGAATCACTTGAACCAGGGAGGCGGAGGTTGCAGTGAGCCAAGATCGCACCATTGCACTCCAGCCTGGGCAACAGAGAGGGACTCTGTCTCAGGAAAAAAAAAAAAAAAAAGAGAACACCTTGCTACTCATTTTGATCTGGCCGATTGTATAGTGAGATGCTATTTAATGGACTTCTAGGCCGAAGGCAGGGCTGGGACCTAACAGCACTGTGCATTTGGCTCCAGGCCTGGGATTGGAGTGTTCTTAACCTTGATCTGGGCTGCTCTGGTCACTGTTGTGTCTCCTTCAACTGTTGCCTTATCTCAGTTTCTCTGATCCTGACACCATTCCTAAAATCCAAGGTTTAAAATACCAAGTTACACATAATGACATATAGTAACTTATGGTTGGATTGGGGAAATATTTTTTTTCTCTCCAGAACTTTTATACAAATAGGAAGAAGGAGACTCTTTCACCTATACAAGGGGTATATGAAGACATTGTTAAAGTAGCCATAGCATTTTGAAGAGCCCCAAATAAAGAAAGAATCCTGGGTGGATTTGAGGGAAGAATTCGTTATAATGAACCAGAAATACAAGAGTCTACTGAAACTGGAAAAGTTGACAGAATATAGTTGAACTTAATAAAACCTTCAAGGGAAATAAGGGTCAAACAAAGAAAGCCAATGAATGGAAAAGCCCAAGATTGGTTTGGGATAAACATGAGGATAGTCACATTTTAGCATGGGTATCTTCTGACCTCTCCCAGCAGTTCAGCCCCCATCATTCTCCCATCTGACACACCTGCCAGACCAAATGCCTTCTTCCTCTATTTTGCACGTATCAAGCAACCCAATAGTACCTCTTTGGCCATGATACAAAGCTAAGAAGAAACCTCATAAATTTCATGCACGGGTAGAAAGTGCAATGCAACCCAGTAGGCTGGTTGATTATTTATGTGGTGTCAATGCACATGGTAGCAATTTCAATCAAATCAGTCCTGCTACCACAAGTAAGTAACCTCTAACGCAGCCCTGTCATGATGTTTGATGTTCTTAACTTACTAAATTATCAACATGGCCGAATGCATTTTTGAGCTCCAGATTTTCTAAACATTTTTAAGAGGCGATTAAAGAAGATGTAACAGAAACCTATCCCAGAAACCTAGGCATTGGGGAGGAACCCTGACTGGTTCTTTTTGGGACCTTTCTGTGAGGGCAACAGAGATGAACAAAAGAAATGTTAGCGTGTCAGAGGATATGACAAGTGAGGGGAGGCTGAGGTAGGAAGAGGGCGTTCTAGCCACAGGCTAACACAACTGTGTTAAAGGAGAAGTCTGGGCAAAGGAGGGGAAAACACCCCCCCAAACAAAAACAAAAAACCAAACCAAAGGACAAAAGAGTTTCACACAACACAGTATCAAAAAGTAAAAGGAACACACTAAATGCGTGAGCTAATGGTAAGTCAGTCCACAGCCTATTATGATAGGCCCATCCAGCATCAATCAGATTTATTCTCCTCTGCTGTCCCTATTTTTTAATTGTTTGTTAGATAATTGACTGATAAAGGAAAAGAAAATATAGGGAAAGATATCAGCCGGGCATGGTGGCTCACGCCTGTAATCCCAGCGCTTTGAGAGGCCAAGGCAGGTCTATTGCTTGAGCCTGGGAGTTCAAGGCCAGTTTGGCCAACATGGCAAAACTCCACCTCTATAAAAAATACAAAATTTAGCTGGGCATGGAGGCACAGGTCTGTAGTCCCAGTACTTGAGAGGCTGAGGCAGGAGGATGGCTTGAGCTCAGTAAGCAGAGGTTGCAGTGATTCAAGAATGCACCACTGCACTCCAGTCTGGGCAATAGAGCAAGATTCTGTCAAAAAAAAAAAAAAAAAAAAAAAAAAAAAAGAGAAAGAAAGAAAGAAGGAAAGAAAGAGAGAAAGGTTTTATAATGGTGGAGAGAAACTAACAATGAGGAAGCAGCATGGTAGAGAGAGAACTCTGGAGCCTCACAGATGAGCATAAATCTGCTTCTGCCATGTCCTAGCTTTAGGAAGCTAAACTTAATCCCCAAGTCTTGAGAATTTTTTTATTTTTTATATACTCCCTTACAAAATGAATAAAGGTTTCTCATGGGCCTATGGTAAGGATTGGCAGTAATATGGGCAAAGCATTTGATTCATAGTATGTATATTAGGGTCTTACATGCAAGGAAATTAAGACAAACTAAAATTATCTCAGTTAATAGTTCCTTATAGGAGCACAATATTTTTTTTTAATGAATTTACAAAGTCCTGAGCTCTTCTGACTTGGATACTCAATTTCATGTCATAGCAAAGGTATAAAAATGAATTTAAAAATCTGTGGTAAATAAAAACTTTTATAAAAATTGAAGTTATTATTATAATTCTACTATTAAAATAACTTGTCCATGAGTCACATGAGTCACAAAGCTGCATATGTCAAGCAAGCATAGGGAGAAATATATCATGCATACATGAGAAAATCTAACCTGTACACTGTTTTCAAAAGTAACAAAATTATTACAAATACCAAATGTACCAACTCTTGTGATGTTTTATACATATTGTATTAGTTTCATGTTTGTGTTTTTTAGCCCTTTAGACTTTTTTTAGGTTTCGTATATTTTTTGTAGGCCCATACAGTCTTACAGGCCCCAGGTCAGCTGCTTAGAGTGCCCCATGAGACATATAGCTCAGCCTGCATGCAGGCCTGTCAGAGCCTGGAGCACAGATCAGGACACAACCAGCCGAGCTGGCTTGTCTTCTCTGCAAAGGCCATCTCCTAATTCTAGGGCTCTGCCTTTGTAGTAAATGGGCTATTCTCTATTTCTGCTTTGCCTGCCTATTGTGTTAAATAATGCTTTTGTTTTTCATCTCTAAAGTTCAAAATTACAGAGAAGAAGGATCTGGTTGACTCCACTGGTCCAATATTCAACACCATGATAAACCGAGTTCTATGGTCAGGACCAATCTAAGGCTGCTGGTCAGCCCACAGATTGGCTGCCTTCTGGACATTTGCACACCTCTAGGGAGGGAGTGTCACATGGAAAAAAGCAGAGAGAACCAAGGGTAAGGAAGCCCTTGGCAGAGGCCTGAAGCAAAGACAAAACTGTAACAGACAGTTTCTTGCTTGGCCCGTCCAATACAACATGTGCTCAATAAGTTGTTGAAATCATCCTAAGTATTAAGTATTTGAGAAAAATTCCTGGGGAAAAATTATAAGGCATCCCAATAGTAAGCAAACTTATGATCAGGGAGACAATTAAACTGAGACTAAAAAGTAAGAATGTTATTTCGTAATTGTTCAATGAATAATGTATTTTGTAGGTGCCTTAAGTTTAAATGAGGAAAGAGTTTTATAGGCGAGAAAGGTCTTGCTTAATGAAGGAGAGAAATGAGCTTTATCTTGAAAAATGAGTATGGTTATTAAGGCAACAAGAACAAGTAAAAGAATTCTAGTCGAGGGGCAGCCTATGAGCAAACGAACAGAAGTCGGAATGAATAAGTCCAGCTGGTGAAATGCCACAGAGAGGTGTTAAAATGAAGATGGTTAAATTGGGAGATGCGTGGAAGATGAAAGTAGAATGGAAGGTAAAGGCCATTTGTGGAGTTATTTATATAATTCAGTAAGGAGATTGACTTTATATTGACGGTAAGAGTTTTTGAAGGCCTTAGGGCAAAGAAATAGTGAGCTGGTATTGTTTTAAGAATCTAGTTTTGTTGTTTTGTTCTCAGAATTTTTAGGGGGATAAATAGAGAAGAACTCAGAAAGATGAATTTTTAAACATAGAACGGGAGAAAAGAAATAAGTGTGAAGGGCATTGGATACTAGATCAGCTATGGGGAGCCAGGAAGACGAAGGGGGCCAGACGCAGTGGCTCACACCTGTAATCCCAGCACACTGGAAGGCTGAGGTGGGTGGATCATTTGAGGTCAGGAGTTCGAGACCAGTCTGGACAGCATGGTGAAACCCCATCTCTACTTAAAATACAAAAATGAGCTGGGTGTGGTTGGGGGGCGGCGCCTGTAATCCCAGCTACTCAGAAGGCTGATGCAGGAGAATCGCTTGAACCCAGGAGGCAGAGGTTTCAGTGAGCCAAGATCCAGCCACAGCATTCCAGCCTGGGTAACAGAGTGAGACTCCATTTCAAAAAAAAAAAAAAAAAAAGAAGAAGAAGATGAAGGGGTCACATGGTGTCCTGGATGTCTCAGAACAATGATGCCATCATCAACAGAATGGGCTGCATCCAGACGAAGCAGCATTTTTTGGCAAGTCCAGGTCAAGGAATATGTGTCAAAGCAGTCTTACTTATGATGTACAAAGGGCAAACCCATGATGAAATATTTGTTAGCATATGGAACTAAACTGCTTGAGGCAGTGACATATGAAACTGACACGAATAAAGTACGAGAAGTCCTCACAAAATTGTGGAGTGGGCAAAAAGTGGCAGATGAATGATGCTATGGTCAGATAAGATAATGCATTCAGGTGAAAGAGATAAAAACTGTAATTTTAGCATGGTGAGTTCGCTCATAAAACTGTCACTTCTGCTATATAAATTTGTAGTTTCAATATTCAAGGGGTTAATTATACCAAGTCATTGTTGCCACCTAAGCAAAGGACATGGGGATTATTGCTGACGGTTTCATGAAGACCTTAAACCAATATGACATTGGGTAAAACAACCAAAAAATTAAAGAATACAAGAAAAAAGTTTAAAGAACTACTGAATGTGTATATATATATACACACACACACATACATATATAGATATATATAGATATATATAGACATATATAGACATATATAGACATATGTACATATATAGACATATATATATACACACACACACACAGACACACACATATGTACTGTGATAGCTGTAGAAGATTTAGGTTACTCTATTTTTAGAAAAATATAAGAGATGTTTTATATTTATATTTTATATGTTTTATATTTAAAGTTCCTTTAAAATAACTAATTCCCCTGATGGACTAAAAATGAGTAAGTCACAGCCCCAATCATTGAGAAAATTACTATTTAGTAAGAAGAGCAAAAGCCTGGACAATTAAATTATACTAAACCATGATACAAAATATGCCAGAAGCATGCAAAGATTACCGTGATAGCCGACAGGATGGAGCAATTGACTTTGCCCCAGGAAGTCAGTAGAAAACAACCAGAAGATTAAATATCTGAGTTGAGACTCAAAGAATGAGCTGGAATTTTCTGGGTAAAAACGTATGTTAAGTCTTCCAAGCACAGAGAGTAGGATCTGCAAAGCTGTGATGTCATAAAGAAGCTTGGCAGATTGACTGAACAGTGAATTTATTATTCTTTGTGCACAAACTATAGGAAAGGAGAATTACTGAGTGGGGGCCAAGAACAAGAAAGTAAAGTGAATCATTGTGAATAGGCTAGGTTGTGCAGCAGGAACAGACACTCCCACATCTCAGTAACTTGAAACAAGGGTTTATTTCTCACTCCCATACATAGCCATCACAGTCAGCTCACACTTCTGCTCCTCATCATCCTTTCTCTAGGGCCCAGGCTAACAGACCCTCCACCACCTGAATGCTGCTAGAGACCATGACAGGGAGAAAGAGACGGGGCAAGTTGTGCACTGGTTATTTAAAAAACACTCACCGGCCAGACACGGTGGCTCACGCCTGTAATCCCACCACTTTGGGAGGCCGAGGCAGGTGGATCACCTGAAGTCGATAGTTCAAGACCAGCCTGACCAACATGGAGAAACCTCATCTCTACTAAAAACACAAAATTAGCTGGGCATGGTGGCACATGCCTGTAATCCCGGCTGCTCGGGAGGCCAAGGCAGGAGAATAGCTTGAACCAGGGAGGCAGAGGTTGCAGTGAGCTGAGATCGTGCCATGGCACTCCAGCCTGGGCAACCACAGTGAAACTCTGTCTCAAAAAGACAAACAAACAAACCACTCACCAAAAGTGAAAGAAATCTCTTACTTTAAATTTCATTAACCAAAACAATATACATGGGCATTCCTAACTTTGAAGGGGAGCATGTGCCCTGAAGGTTGGTAAACAGCACTATTGGCCATCACACAAGCTTTTCACAAGACACTGGCTAATTTTATTGGTTACAAGCAGATTTATGCATGAGAGGAATGACACAGTTGGGTTTCTTATACAGGGAATTATTCAGCCAGCAGAGCAGAGATCAACTGCATCAGTGATTCACGAACTGAGCATTCCTCAGAATGATCTGGAGCACTTGTTAAAAACACATATTGCCAGGCCCCTCACCCAGTTTCTTACTCAACAGGTGTGCGTGGGGCCTAGGGATTTCTATTTCTAGCAAACGTGATGCTAATGCTTCCCTTCTTGGACCACATGGTGAGTACCATGAAATGGAGGAATCAGATACCAGAGTTATTGCAAATGATTGATGGTAAGGCAATGGGTAGGATGAGAGTAGCAGCAAGGTGACAGGAGAGGCCATACCAGATCAGAGAGATGTGTTTCAGGTTGAATTAACAGACTCTTATGACACTGGATGTTAGGGAAGAGGATGAGAGCTTTGAAAATGACCACAGGATAAACACTTTGGGCAGAAAATTGCCCCATTAACCAAGGTGAAGACTAGAGTAGCAAGAACAAGCTTAGGCAGGCATGGTAGGGAAGTGAGGGGTGGAGTGGAAAGAAAGAAAGGAGTCCAGTTTATGACATTTTAGCTTTCAAGTACTTAAAGGCATCCAGATTTGATATGTCCAGTTGGCAACAGAAATGCAGCTCTGGATCTCAGAAGAGGGCTAATACCTGAAGGTAGAGACAGAATCATCAGGATTTGATGAGGCTGAAGTCATGGGATAAAATGAGGGCATCCAGGAAGGGTATTTGAGAAAGGCAAAGAACCAAGTATAGAAGCCTGAAATGTCCCAATAATTGGATAACTCATGAGGATGTTGAGAAACCAGAAAGGACAATAAAAATGAAAAGTCTGAAATGTAGAAGAACGAGCAGAGAGCTACGTTTCAGGAAATAGGAGAGGAGAGAGATTTCAAAATCAGGGAGTCCTCAGTGGTGTCAAATATTTTAGAGATCAGACATAGTGATGACCGAAAAAAAGACCTGCAATAATTGTGTAGTTCATTACTGTTTCTACCCAGACCTTAATTCAGCTGTTGGATAGGATGTGGACTTCCCACCCACCATTAGATGGATTTTTTTGTCCTTATTCTTTAATTAATCAAGGAAGCCTCTATATGAACCAGCAGGTTCTTCCTTTAAAAGCTGAGGCCACCCCTGAGGAATTTGCCCTTTTACAATTACAGTCACCTGAAGAAAGTCGTCTTACCCTCTTGGCAAAGGGAGGGATGGAGAAAAAAATGGGATCATTCTAAGTCTTTATTCAAGAACACTGCAAAGTCTGCTAGAAACTGGAGCTGAAAGCATGCTACGCCCGGGGCCCATGGTTATGTGTGTGCAAATGGTGTCATCGTGCAGGCCATCCTTTTGCATCAAGATTCTGACACTATGAATATGAAGCATTGATATACGTACATCTATTCCCAGGCCCTATTTGAATCTTAAACCCTGGACTTAATCTCTGACTTCTGTTCTTGCTTGGCTAAGATCTCTATGTATCTACTTGAGTCTGTGTATCCAGATAGATCTTCACTGGGCCTACCACTTGCCTTGACCAGTCAACATGGCAGGAAATTGCTAAAGTCGTCTCGGGTCATCTGTGTACCACATCCAACCCACACGCCACTCAGGCAACTTTCCCTATGTGATCCAGCCTAGGCCTAACCCCTGCCTCTTCCTTATTCTAACTGAACTATGCCCCCCGTATCACCCAGGCAGTTGAGCCTACCAGATACAAAAGCTGGGACTATGTCACACGCTTTCATTGATGAAAGAGACACAAATAGACCTTAACAGATCACACTAAGCCTCAATGACCATGAATAAGATAATCTGTGCCTTACTTGCTATGTGTTTTTAAAAAACATATGTGTGGGCAACTTCTATTTCATTTCAATTGAAAGAGAAAAAAATATTATTTCTTGGACCTTCATCAAAATATTGCCAGTTTGAATTGCACTCTTTTTTTTTTTTTGGTTAAAAATAGGGAAAAAACACCCACAAATGATAAATAAGTAAGAATAGATACACTGTTGTTGTGAAATCATCTTAGTCCTTTATCTTTTTCAATCAAAATGACATAAATGTAAGAGAAATAACTCCCATAATAGTCACCGATTACAAAAGAGCAAAGAAAGAACACAAGGTGTTAGGTCCACGACTTTTGTTCCAGATGTCCCAGGGACCCTGGGCTGCCTAGACCTTTATTTTCTCATCTCTTCAAGGGAGAGAAATTTAGGTATGATTATTTGATGTGATTCTTCCACTGCCTTTTAATCTCTTATGTTCAATTATAATTTTTATGAAAGAATATGTAAAAATAAATTCTGAACTCTATTTTATCCTTGCATCTTATCTTACAGACTGAATGTGAGCAGTACCTGCTCTGTAAATAACTCACTGAATCATTTGGACAAAAAAAGTTCAACAAAATAGTTGACTGCTTTACGATACAGATGGCATCTGTCTTTCAAATAACTTAAGTATTTAAATTGAGTAGTGAAAATACCTGACAAATCTTTTTCAGACTAGTACAGCAAAGAAAACTGGAATAACATCTAAGACATCAGAAGTTATTTGTAGACCTTCAAGATTTTCTTTTATTTAGGGGGTAAACCATTGTGCCTGTCCCTCTCCTCTTTGTCTCTCTCTTATGAATTCCATCTGCTTATAAGTGTCATTGCAGGAGCTTGCAAGGAAACACTTTTGATTAGCACTAAAAAGGTCTAATGTTTGAGACCTTGAATGCAAAACTTCTGATAAAAATAAACTTCAAGGTCTCAGAATACTCTTATCAGATCAACCGTATGGTCCCAGAGTAGGTTGCTTAAATCTTCTTGGCTAAGCTTGAGAGTGCAAAGCTTAATACCCACAGGCTTGCAATCTTTTTGAATGTGATTATAATTCAGCACCAGCTTTGCATCCTGGATAAAGGTTCCCCTTGAACACAAAGTATGTTACATGCTTGTGTGCTAGTGATCAAAATACTCAGAGGATTATGGCACTTGCTGTTCTTAAACCTCCAAAATGGTGTTAAAATGCTACATCCAATCAGCTAAGCTGTAAATTAAATTTTTGTAGATTGAAGACATAGTTTTATTTCATATGCCAGAAACTCATTTCAACCCTAGCATTTCTGTTAGCACATTGCATCTAGCAGCATAACTCAAGAGGTTTAATGAAAGTTTAAAAACAATCTGTTGCAGATTTTGTGCCTAATTTATTTTTAATTGCAAATTGTACAACACATTATTGCCTGTGAAAATAGAAATTTAATTTCCTTCCTGTTTTTTTTTTGTGTTTTCTTTCTTTCTTTCTTTCTTTCTTTCTTTCTTTCTTTCTTTCTTTCTTTCTTTCTTTCTTTCTTTCTTTCTTTTCTTTCTTTCTTTTTAAATAACTCTAATGCAACCTCAGAGAGGAAACAGGCTTTAACATATGGTTTTCTGGGTTTTATTTCTTTATTCTTAGATTCTTGATGTGCACTTTTTGGAAAATATACCTCACACCATTTAGCATTATCCTTCAAACACACTTTCGTGCTTTTAGAATGTGCTGTGTGGAATCCCATAAGGTTGCATTTACACAGTTATTGCAAATGCATAGCATGCTCCGCAGTTACAGCTTCACTCCATTGCATGTGAAAATCCTCCTGACTGTATCTGACAGTTGACTCCTGCTAACAGTGTTCATATTCATACTTAGAGTTATTATAGATTGTGAAGCTGTGCTGGTGATGGTGTAAAAGCACACACGAGATAACTTGAATTGCAAGGATAGCTGGAGAGTTGGTAAAAATTAAATGCTCCATCCCATGTTTTTGCACTGATAGAACAAAGTCGTTTATTAGCATGAAGTTTGTTTTCTAATGCGACCTCTAATTTTTTTAATTGGTCTTCTCCGGAAAACCGTGGAGGAAAAATATCAAACAAAAACACTCATTCTGGTCTTTTCTTTCGGAAAGGTTTGTCACACTCTGCTGCATCTGGTAGTTTGACTTTGGATGGGAATCTGAAATGAAGCTTAATGTGAGTGCTATCAAGTGATTCTAGGAAAATGTCAAAATACAAGCAAAGAAAACAAAGGTCTTTTGTGCTGGATTTGCATTTCCTTCTGAAATCTTTGGCACTTTACATCAGAAAGGGAGTTGTATTATTTATTTTCAATTTCCTGACTCTCTATTCTTCCTCTGTCCTTAGAGAGTGGCCATCAGCACACTCCCTGCAGTCTTTCCCTCTCCTTGCTGAGCATTGTGTCAGTGAAGCGAGCTGCCTTCAAAGCTAGTGACAAGCGCAGGGCTGCCTCTTGCCAGAGAGGGGTGTGCATGCATGTCGCGACCAGGTCTCCCTTCCTGCAAGACAGCTCTCTCTGCCTCCACAAGGCCCAGCTTCCAGTGACGGCTGGATCAATGTGACATCTTGCTTTGGGTAGCCGTTGTGAGCAGGTACATTAGACAGCATCACAGTTTCCAGAAGGAACACATGTAGTGAGTGAGTGCCTTGACCTCCTCTAAGACATGATAGATAGTTCATATGCAGGTAGGACTTGGGTCTGGGGTAGAGGAGATGAACTGAAACTGCAATATTCTGAGCACCTGAACTGCACTGCCACTGAGAATTAAGCGGACTAAAGGTCAGGAAGATGATCTGGAAATAACCAGCATGTAAAAAACCTAACAAGCCTATTCAAGCTGAGAATTCTGATTGTTTTAAAGTCGTGTACTCATATTAAAAGATCTGATTCGTGTAAATGTTACCATCTATAACTGTTTCTCTAAAACATTTTGTGTTTTTATTTTACATTTTTAGAAGATATAAGCCTGCTATATGATTATGTTTCTCCCTTCATGCACCATCCATTAAATTATTATTTCTTAAGATATTTGACATTTTGCAGCTTTGCCATATCGGTTTTGATTATAGCAAAACATTGATAAAAATTATTCTTAATGAAGGAAGTAAATATAGAAATTTCAAATAGATAAATTACATTTCTGCGTATGCAAGAAAAAGTGCTGATTACCTATTGTATTTGTATAGCAGAAGTAGATATATATTTCATAAAAGAGATTTGATGAAACTGGATACCTCTGAGAAACCAGATTAAAAGAATGGGGCAGCCATGTCAAAGAAAGTCTAGGAGGATGCTATTGATGAAATGAATGAAGAATGCATGGATAGCGTCAGATGCGAGAAGCGTTCGGGATCTAACACTAAACAAACCATGCTGATGGAAGCAGTATTTACTCATATATAAATCACTGTGGCAAAACTCAGTTGCCTTAGTAGGACATGAGCTTGCACCTGTTTTTGTAAATTCCTGTCAGAGACTGAATGACAGGTTTCCAGAAAGAAGGTGCTTTTCCTCCTTTCCTTCCTTCCTCCTTCATTTCCAGAGGTCAGAGAGCTGTACGTATAGGCAGTTGGTCATTTGAATAGAAACTTTGGAGAGAAGTTTTGCTGATGAGTGTGAAGGCAGCTTGAAGTTTCATCTGTCTCAGCCTTTTCCAGCTAGGTCTATGCTCTCTAATTCTCAATTTTTTGCTTATTAAAGGGACACTCATCTCTTCTCTCTATACCTCTCTATAAACTCAGTTTAGCTTTGACATACTTTCAATGCATGGACACGCACACACACACATACACACACACAGTAACCCTCGCTGGAATGGAGATGCCAGGAGTGCCTTTATAAGCTTTGAAGTTGCCACAGTCTGCTGAAAAGGAATATATCTTTCTTTTAATCAGAATATTCAGAATGGGATACATACAACCTTATTCAGGTTGGAAGATGGACATGAATACACCTATCCCTTGCTTTATGAATTTACAATTTTAACTCATTCCTGAAAACCTGCCATTAAGTTTCTCAAAAAGAGTTAAGTAAAAAATAGTAATGTCTTTCAATTTGCTTAGAAAAATTTATGATACATTTTATGCCAAGCAAAGATACTCAAAGATTGTTCACAGTTTTAAAAAATATATTAATTGAAAATAAAAGCAAGCAAACTTTTATAAGTAAAGAACTAGAACATAAATTTTCAAATTTTATATATAATTTGTATACAAAAGGTAGTATAACAAAAGTATAATTATTTTTATTTGCCAATTTTGAAACTTTTAGAGCCCATGGATTTTTTTAAATTATACTTTAAGTTTTAGGGTACAGGTGGACAATGTGCAGGTTAGTTACATATGTATACATGTGCCATGTTGGTGTGCCGCACCCAGTAACTCGTCATTTAACATTAGGTATATTTCCAAATGCTATCCCTCCCCCTCCCCCAACCCCACAACAGGCCCCAGTGTGTGATGTTACCCTTCCTGTGTCCAAGTGTTCTCATTGTTCAATTCCCACCTATGAGTGAGAACATGCAGTGTTTGGTTTTTTGTCCTTGCAATAGTTTGCTGTGAATGATGGTTTCCAGCTTCATCCATGTCCCTACAAAGGACATGAACTCATCATTTTTTTATGGCTGCATAGTATTCTATGGTGTATATGTGCCACATTTTCTTAATCCAGTTTACCATTGTTGGACATTTGGGTTGGTTCCAAGTCTTTGCTATTGTGAATAGTGCCGCAATAAACATACGTGTGCATGTGTCTTTATAGCAGCATGATTTATAATCCTTTGGGTATATACCCAGCAATGGGATTGCTGGGTCAAATGGTATTTCTAGTTCTAGATCCCTGAGGAATCGCCACACTGACTTCCACAATGGTTGAACTAGTTTACAGTCCCACCAACAGTGTAAAAGTGTTCCTATTTCTCCATATCCTCTCCAGCACCTGTTGTTTCCTAACTTTTTAATGATCCCCATTCTAACTGGTGTGAGATGGTATCTCATTGTGGTTTTGATTTGCATTTCTCTGATGGCCAGTGATGATGAGCATTTTTTCATATGTCTTTTGGCTGCATAAATGTCTTCTTTTGAGAAGTGTCTGTTCATATCCTTTGCCCACTTTTTGATGGGGTTGTTTATTTTTTTCTTGTAAATTTGTTTGAGTTCTTTGTAGATTCTGGATATTAGCCCTCTGTCAGATGAGCAGATTGCAAAAATTTTCTCCCATTCTGTAGGTTGCCTGTTCACTCTGATGGTAGTTTCTTTTGCTGTGCAGAAGCTCTTTAGTTTAATTAGATCCCATTTGTCAATTTTGGCTTTTGTTGCCATTGCTTTTGGTGTTTTAGACATGAAGTCCTTGCCCATGCCTATGTCCTGAATGGTATTGCCTAGGTTTTCTTCTAGGGTTTTTATGGTTTTAGGTCTAACATTTAAGTCCTTAATCCATCTTGAATTATTTTTTGTATAAGGTGTAAGGAAGGGATCCAGTTTCAGCTTTCTACATATAGCTAACCAGTTTTCCCAGCACCATTTATTAAATGGGGAATCGCTTCCCCATTTCTTGTTTTTGCCAGGTTTGTCAAAGATCAGATGGTTGTAGATATGTGGCATTACTTCTGAGGGCTCTGTTCTGTTCCATTGGTCTATATCTCTGTTTTGGTACCAGTAACCGTGCTGTTTTGGTTACTGTAGCCTTGTAGTATAGTTTGAAGTCAGGTAGTGTGATGCCTCCAGCTTTGTTCTTTTGGCTTAGGATTCACTTGGCAGTGCAGCCTCTTTTTTGGTTCCATATGAACTTTAAAGTAGTCTTTTCCAATTCTGTGAAGAAAGTCATTGGTAGCTTGATGGGGATGGCATTGAACCTATAAATTACCTTGGGCTGTATGGCCATTTTCACGATATTGATTCTTCCTACCCATGAGCATGGAATGTTCTTCCATTTGTTTGTGTCCTCTTTTATTTCATTAGCAGTGGTTTGTAGTTCTCGTTGAAGAGGTCCTTCACGTCCCTTGTAAGTTGGATTCCTGGGTATTTTATTCTCTTTGAAGCAATTGTGAATGGGAGTTCACTCATGATTTGGCTCTCTGTTTGTCTGTTATTGGTGTATAAGAACGCTTGTGATTTTTGCACATTGATTTTGTATCCTGAGACTTTGCTGAAGCTGCTAATCAGCTTAAGGAGGGTTTAGGCTGAGACAATGGGGTTTTCTAGATATACAATCATGTCATCTGCAAACAGGAACAGTTTGACTTCCTCTTTTCCTAATGGAACACCCTTTATTTCCTTCTCCTGCCTGATTGCCCTGGCCAGAACTTCCAACACTATGTTGAATAGGAGTGGTGAGAGAAGGCATCCCTGTCTTGTGCCAGTTTTCAAAGGGAATGCTTCCAGTTTTTGCCCATTCAGTATGATATTGGCTGTGGGTTTGTCACAGATAGCTCTTACTATTTTGAGATACGTCCCAGCAATACCTAATTTATTGAGAGTTTTTAGCATGAAGGTTGTTGAATTTTGTCAAAGGCCTTTTCTGCATCTATTGAGATAATCATATGGTTTTTGTCGTTGGTTCTGTTCATATGCTGGATTATGTTTATTGATTTGCGTATGTTGAACCAGCCTTGTATCCCAGGGATGAAGCCCACTTGATCATGGTGGATAAGCTTTTTGATGTGCTGCTGGATTCGGTTTGCCAGTATTTTATTGGAGCTCATGGATTTTTTACTCCTAAACTGAACTTTAAAAATAAAATTTTAGTCCAGAAAAACACCACATTAGCAAAGTACAAGAGCCCTTTGAAATACTTGGAAGTAGCGCATGCATATCAGACTGAAAATCTGTAAAAATGTTACTCTTCGCCTCTCTTACAAAAACGATCCATCCAGAGCGAAAACATCTTGCGTTCATCCAAACATGGTGTATGATTCAAATGTATTCTATCTTTGCCTGAAACCCTCATGTCAAAATATCACTTTTTAGAGTGTATTTATTTAGTGTGGAGTTTTGTTTTTGTTTTCTTAGGTGTTTTTATTTTTATTTTTACTTTTTATTTTTGGTGGTAAAGTAGTTATAATGAAAAAGGACACCATCCAAAAGTGGGATGACTTTGCCAAAGCCATTATGGCAACAATAAAAAATTAACTGATGGCATTTTGTGTGGTGAGGTAAGTCTGTATTCTGAATCTTGTATGATCTAATTTGTCTCCTGACACAATCTTTGAAGCAATTAGAGATTTCTGGGATCTTATGCCACAGTTGGAACCTCCCACAGTGGAATATTAGAACTGGAAGTTATCTTGGAGGCAACTGTCTAACATCCCAGTTTTACAAATGAGGAAACTAGTGTTTCGTGAAATTAAATGGCTTGGCCAACGTCATGAACCTCAAAGAGGCAGAGCCAGATTTTCCTATTTTGTCTTCTGCTATAACTGAATTGACTCTCAGAAATGATGGCATCCCCATCCTGATCACCAGTTCCTGGAATCTAACACATAATAGTTCAAGTTGGGGTTGCGGAAGGTTGGAGAACGAATTGAACTTTAAATCCTTGAAGGTGGAATATTTTTGACCCTTTGAACTGTATTATAGCTAAAACATTGGGTATTTTTGACAAAAGTCAAAAACATGATTTGAAAATAATCTTTCGATACACCATTGTAACAAGTCTTCCCACTGAGCAACAAAATCAAATTAGCTTGTTTTGAAAAAATGAAACAACTCTAAGCACATTTCACATCTCCTGTTGAGGTCTGGGTCATGCGTAATCACTGGGCTGTGATTGCTACATTCTGCATTCTGAAAAATAATGAGGAATAGGCAAAGGAATCAGATACGGACGTAAATAATTATAAGTGGCAAGCTGGATACGAGAACATGGCTGGGACTTGAGCCTCTTGCTATATCCTTGCCCAATCTAGAGCTTCAGATAAATGCATGGGAACAGGTGCAACTACACAGCAAACCTTTCGCCAGATGTAGAGATTTCTGGCCTGCCCATAGGGCTGGAAAACCCTGCCCTGACCAGTAGGAGTCAGAAGATATCCTGCAACCTGTGCGCAGAGAGAATCCAACAGAACACATGAGGCTAGAATATGGGTTTGCCTAAGTGATGAGTGAGTGAGAGAAAAGGCAATGCTTCTTCCCTGATATCTGCAGGAGGCTGGTCATCCTTTTTAAGAACTGAACCCAGAAACGGGGAAGACGGTGAAAAACATTCTCCATATGCCTGCTCCCCTGGATTACAGGCTGCTTGTGAGCAGGAAGCATTCATCAGTGCAAGAAATATGCACTGAATGTCTAACATGGTCCTAGTACTCTACCTGATGCCAGGTATATAGAGGTGAGATTCAGATACAATCTGTGATCTCACTGGGAAGCAGGTTCACTAATAACCAATCCCAAGGGAGGACTTCCCCCATGTGGGTGATAGCAAAGGTTATCACTGTGCCAACCACCGGGCATAGGAGTTGAACGCTTGTCCCCACTGCACCTGGGCTGCAGTTTTGCCAATTGGCTGAGTCTGGTGAAGCAGAATACACTCACATGCAGCAGGTTTTATATAAAGCAGATTTATTTGTTACTGCTGGGCAGGAAGGGGCAAAGACGCCCAGGATCCATTGTGAGCTGGTTTCCTAAGGCTCATGAAAGCTGCCTGGGACAGATGGAGGGGCCGTTTTATATATCTTAGGGGCTGGCCACATGACTCACGGGGAAAGCCTTGAGGACATTCTGCTCCTTGGGGAGACAGGAACAAATCTCAGCTCCCCTGGCAGTTCCTCCCTATCTCAAGATGTTGCATTTCCTCTGAGGAAAACACATAAGGCTTGGCTATTTCTGGGAGTTCTTCCCTATCTCAAGGTACTGCATTCCTCGCACATTCTACAGTTATTCTATTTTTTTTTTTCTTTAGAGACAGGATCTCACTCTGTCACTCAGGCTGCAGTGCAGTGGCACGATCAAGGCTCACTGCAGTCTCAAATTTCTGGGCTCAAATGATCCTCCCACCTCAGCTTTCTGAGAAGCTGGGACTATAGGTGCATACCACCTTGTCTGGCTTATTTTTTTTTTTTTTTTTTTTTTGGAGAAACTGAGGTCCCACTATGTTTCCCAGGCTGGTCTCAAACTCCTGGCCTCAAGGGATCCTCCTGCCTCGACCTCCCAAAGTGCTGGAATTATAGGTTTGAGCCACTGTGACCAGCCTGCAGTTATTCTTGAGAACTACAAATGAGAAAGGAAAGAGAAGTGAGTCAGTCCAAAGCTACCTGGAGAATTGTCCTACACTCATGGAATATGGCTAAGAATGTGTATTCCTCATAATTCCTTTCTCCATGTTACTATATCGTATGCAATGGTCAGCTCAGCCACTGCAATGAAACTAACTACCTGGCCTATCATCATTCTTTATTCATTCAACAAACGTATGTTGTTTGACCAATATATGCTATGTACTGTGATGCAACCGAGCTTCATATTTTTTCTGAGAATTATGTTTCTCTCTAAACAGCATGAGGGAGGCAGAAGGAAATAAAATGAGATTCATAAATAGAAAGCTGATTTGAATGAGTACTTTCAAAATAAAATGTTATTTATAAACACATGCGTGTACACAGACTAAGACCAATGAGAAAAATGTCACATTTCCTATATGCAGCTCACTGATTTTTAGTTACAATAACCAGTAAATGTTTCTTCTTGTTCTAGCCAATCAATATTGTGATAACTTGTTATTTAAAGAAGACTTTTTTTTTAACAATTTCACTTGTCATCGTGATATTACATTGATTATTTACTAAGTAAAACGTATCCTTCAAATTTCTGGGGATCCATATTTTCTTTTGAGACTGAGTCTCATTCTGTCGCCCAGGCAGGAGTGCAATGGCACAATCTCGGCTCACTCCAACATCTGCCTCCCAGGTTCAAGAGATTCTCCTGCTTCAGGCTCCCAAGTAGCTGGGATTACAGGTGCTGCCACCACGCCTGGCTTATTTTTGTATTTTGGGTAGAGATGAAGTTTCACCATGTTGGCCAGGCTGGTCTCGAACTCCTGAGCTCAGGCAATCTGCCTGCCTCAGCCTACCAAAGTGCTGGGATTACAGGCGTGAGCCACTGCACCTAGCCTATACTTTCATATATATAACAAAAATAGCAGTTTGTTACAAACATTAGTTCATAGAGAGGTACAGTGAAAAGAGAGTTCCAAAGATGTGGTTCAACCTTGGTTTTGCTACTTACTAGTCACAGCTTCAGACACATCACTTTAAACTCTCTGAGTCTCAGGGGATATAGGACAATATAATGAGTTCAAATTCAGGCCCTTGAAATATCTCACCTAAGGAGGAATGTCCCACGAATAAATAGGAATTTCTAAGATCACAGTACATGTCTGCAATTGCTTGAGAGATATAGTTGCTGGGTTAACAAATAAAAGCGCAAGCGAGGAAAGCCTCCTCTTACTTCCAGACCACATTCAAATTCTAGGTATTTGTATTAACTTGGCCTTTCATGCATAGCTTAAAAGTGTGTGTTCTACGTGGTTCAAAGAAAATAAAACATGATTCTTTCTTTTAACCAAATGAAGACCTACCCAGAGAAACAAGATGCCAACCTGTGCATGAAATAGCTGATAACACAAGGCTATGTGTAATCACTGAACAAGTGTTGCCATCTGAATTTGAGTTATAAGGGAACAATGATGATCTCAGTGACTTCTAATCTCTAATCTCCGCTCTTTCACAAGCTGTTAACTAGACTCTCTGAACTCCAGTTACGTCTTCTGTAAAATGTGGTTAAATACGTATACACCATAAGGAAGGTATGAGAACAGAAAGGAAGAATTCAGTAAAGTACTTAGAATCATGTTCCCAAGTAGTTAATGCTAAGTAAATGTCAGTTTCTCTTCCATCCTTTCTCTGTACTCATTTGGCACAATAGGATAATAATATTTGTTCTGCCTACCTTAGAGAGCTACATTGAGAATAAAATGAGTTCATATTTGTGAAAACGTTGGATGTTATAAGGACTTCAACAAATGAGAGGTGTTATTATTGGTAATGGAATTCTTGAACTCATTATGCCGAGAGACTTTACCCAAAAATATAATCATACTCCCAGAGACATTACCTAGCCACATAAATGACAGGAGCATAATGAACTGCCACCTAAACTGGGTTCCAGCTAGTATGAGTCTTTATATCAGGAAGAACAAATGCCCCTCCACAACAACTTGGAGCTGGGAGTAAGGACTCGTTGGTCTGGATTCAGGAGAGCACCAGAGTTCTAACACTTCCAGATTTTATATGCTCAAACGCAGGTGACAACCTGTGTTAGAAGGTAGGATGAGCATAAGAAGCATGTGATTAACAGAGACTCTGTGTTGATGATATGTAGAGTGCTGATTTTAGAGTCATTCTGTCTGCTTCCAAGTTCTGGTACCACCACATGCTATACATTTTTGGTCAAGGTACCTGGTTTCTCTAAACCTTAGAATCCTCATTTAGAGAGTGGGACCGATAATTATACTTGCCTCTGGAATATTTGAAGGATAAAATGAACATCCGGCCCCTTATGGGTGTCCAGGGGATTTTAGCTATTATTATTATTTCTAAATAAGTGGAAAATAGAGTACAGTCTTTTCTGCATTTATAAGAGAGCTAAATCAGTAATTGCAACCAAAAGGATAGGGATGGTAGTATGTGCCTCCTGCCTCGCAGTGCCTTATGGAGGAGGTCAGTGTTTGAATAAAGAGCCCAACTAGACTTCCACAAGAAGACATAACCAACATGAAAGTGTAAGGAATACCCAGTGGACTGAAGCTAGACAAGAAAAGCTGTGTAAGATTTAGGGAAGCCAATACTAGAACTTTAGTAGTGAGGAGAAAAAGGTGACATGGCAAAATGTAGCCTATATAAATACATGTCGGGACTCATATTTCTCTCACAGATTATCTGCCCTGTCTATCTGAAGTAACTATCTTCCATCAAAATACATGAAATAAAACAGTAGCATAACACCTGAGTAGCTCTGTTCTTTCAACCCACTGAGACGAGGTCTGCATATTGCCTGTATTTGCATCACCTCCTTCACTTACCCTTTGCTAAAACATGTCAGAACATCTTTAATTTACCTGTAAAACTTCAGTAGGCAGCTCAGGGAAATTGAAATGAAATCCATCTGTGAAGAATTTAATCTCATATCTTTTTCTTAAGGTATAAAATTAATAAAACAAACTCTATCTGTAAGAACATGTGATATATACATTCATGTAATGTGGACTGCTTAGAGAAAATAGAAAAGGCTTTGTTTTGTAAACATCTATAAGAAAGCTTGCTGTAGCAAAGTATAAAGAATAAACGTCTGGCTGGGCGTGGTGGCTCACGCCTGTAATCCCAACGCTTTGGGAGGCGGAGGCAGGTGGATCACCTGAAGTCGGCAGTTCGAGACCAGCCTGGCCAACTTGGTGAAACCCTGTCTCTACTAAAAATACAAAAATTAGCCGGGCGTTGTGGTAGGTGCCCCTAATCCCAGCTACTCGGGAGGTTGAGACAAGAGACTCTCTTGAACCCGGGAAGTAGAGGTTGCAGTGAGCCAAGATCGCACCATTGCACTCCAGCCTGGGCAGCAAGAGTGAGATTCCATCTCCAAATAAATAAATAAATAAATAAATAAATAAATAAATAAATAAATAAAAATAAAAAAGATAAATGTCTAAAGGAGCAGGCAAATACTGCAGTGGATATTTGGGAAAGAGCTGCCTTTCTTTGGGGGTGGCAAATTGTGGTACTGGTTGTTACTGGCAATTGAAATGAAAGCCATCCTAACGAGGTTTTATCATCATGAACTGTATTTGTTTGTACTAAATTAGGCTCGCTACAGAAACAAACCAAATGATGACAACGAGTTGATTGATTTCCCTTTTAGATTTTTGTAAGCTAGTTAAATATAGGTAGTTGATGTAATTGCGTATTTACTATTTCACTTTTGCAGCTTTTAGAGTGACAAAAATGCAGCCCCCTGTCATGAGTCTGAAATGCTAAACTGTCCTAAACATTGGCGATGCTGTGAGAGATGAGAGTAACCAACAAACACTTCCTACATTGTCACACGGGGCTAATTCAGGCTGCTGCAAATTAGTGGTTTGTAGAATAGAAACCAGTGTGGTAAAAGTGAGATGTGTGAGACTGCCTAGTGACAGTCACACTCTGATGTGACGCTGTTTTATTAGCATCTCCTAAGATCTAAGGCAGTGTCGCCTTGCGTGTGGATCTGCAGTTATCCTTTAACTATGCAAGCTGGCCCAAGAGCAGGGCTGTGAGCAAGACCATGTTTTTGCATCTTATTTGTTCTGAAAATAAGGATTAGTAATGAGTGTTACAAATGGGACTTGTCAGAAGAGAACCAGAGAGACGTTTTGTTAAATCAAAGAAGATCCATTCCTTCACAAAGGATAGACTCATATTCTGTAGTTAATGATTTGTTGCAAGATCTGATAAGTATCCTTCAGATATACAATTGATTTTAAAGGAGAGCCATTGATAGAGGTATCTCTCTGTACCCAAACACAAAGTCCGTGATGAAATCTATACATGGGATCTCTACAACTTATTACCTAAAAATATTAGGAGACAGAAATATCGAGTAACTCTAAAATAAATTATACTTTGATATTCAATTTGTTCTATATTTTCAAGCAGAATTAGTTTTGAGAAGTATTTTAGTTCATTTATTATTGGAAAAGACCTTACTAGCTTATTCAAGCAAGAAAATTACCCCAAAAGCTTACAAGATTTATAATGCTTGGGGAAAAAAAAAAAAAAGCAATTCAAAACCTAATGAGACATTTTAGGCCTCATTTACATCTCTAACCTGACCCATTTTCTGCGAAACGTTTTTGTTGGTAATTTACATACTAAAAGCTAGTTATTTATCCATCCCTAACCAAAAAGTTGATGAGATTACTAATACCACAGTGAAGTTAACATTACCCTGAAAGCTAAATACGACCATTTCTAGAAGGTTGACTATTGAGTCATTTATTAAGCTATAATCTCCATTACATCCTGGCAATGCACCCACACTCTGAGAGAATGACATGAAAGCCCAAATATCTCATTTCCACAGTCACTCTATGGGCAGGAATCCTTCCAGGAACACACTGGTTGGAAATGAAGCACATTAACGTGCTCTGTGTATGTACACACATGCATATAACCAAGAAAAAATAATACAAGGAAACACATCATATAAAACAAGTTCAGATATCATGTATTTTTGAATACCACAGAGCTTTGCATCTATTTGGAGGTGATAATTGTATTGATGTAGCGAAGCTGTTGTATAAAAAAAACCTTCCCAATGTTTTGAGAAAAAAGACTACAATGAGGAATTGAAGTGTACAGTGGCACAGTGATATATTTCTCACTGTTTTAAGGAATAATTATATTTTTTCAGGATGAAAAATATATATCCATAAATATATATGTTAATATTATAAGTGCATCTATTGATATATTTATATTACCAATATACTTACATATTTACTAAAATATATTTCTATTTTCTATTTTATATATTTACATTTTATGTTTTGTATATTTTTATTATATAACATATAATCACCACCTGTTGATAATTGTTTAATAACTTACTCTCAAAAAGCACTGAATTTATAGTAATTTAACGAATGTCCTTCATAATGTAAGTGTCTGTCTACAGTTTAGTTGAACATTATTTGGGCACATGGTGAGAATTATACTCCAAGACCTTCAAGACTGTCTTGGAGGTGAAATTTCCCTGCCTCTTGGTATAAACCCCCTCCCTCACTGCCCTACATCAAATCCCAACAAAATTCAGAGATTGAGAAGTGCATGGTACATCTCTAGGGCTCCTTGTTTAACCAGACTGCATTGCGGGTCCCTTTGTTAAATTCTAGTCTTTGGGGGCAGTGTGCAGTCTGATTTTAGTTTGTTCAGCATCTCCTGCACAGCTTCCTCCCTGGATGAACCAGGTGTTTCATTCTGATCAGGGCCAGTCTGGTATCCAAGAAGGTCCAAAGCTCAACCCACGCCGGTGGCCCTGGAAAGCCCAGAATGTGGACAAATGTGGCTCTATTCCTTTCCTATGTAGTCATAGTTTACTCGATAATGAGTTTCACATTGTGTTTGTTTTCAGAAACCCTCTTTGCTGTTGTATTCTTCCTATGAGTTAGAGGATTTACAAGGGGATACAGATTGATTATAAGCAGAGAAAACACTCCTTGGTAAATGTAATTACTAAAAACTCATCTGCAAAGTAAACTGCCATTCGCCAAAACCTATTATCTTATGACATGTTACGAATTGTGGTTTTAGTCCCTATTTTGAGGCCGTCAAATACTGTGGGCACTGCAGCTGTGGTCTTCAAGGCTGTGGCCACCATCACGGTGATGGCTAACATGCCTTTTGCTGGCTCACGGGGAAAACCACATGAACAATTTTACTTCTCAATTCTTTTGAGTAGTGTAAAAAACTTAGGTTGTGTTGGCTTTACCCACTGTACACCTGTCTCCCAAAGAATATGCTGCAATTGTCTGTTCAGTTTTCCTCTTGGCCATTTGGAATATCTTTGGAGACTCTCTCTTGTGCTGGAATCTATTGACAAGACTCAAATAGTACTATAGTTTCTGTGAATATGTTTTGCTTCATGCAAAGTTTTCCAGGTACATACTGTTGGTGAATGATATACTCCATCTCCAGCTTGCTTATTACCTACTAACATTGTGTGATACAGCAAAACATTTCATATGTTTTCTGGGTATTCTCTTGCTTAATCTGTGAAGATAGTATCATTTCAACACCACATTTCTTATACTCTCATGTCAAAAACATTTCATGATGATCTTCAACAATTACGTCCCTCTTAATATATCTGAGACATTGAATATATTTTAAAATTCCACATCTCCCAGTGCCTTTTCAATTATTTATGCTAGAAATGTTGGGTGAATAGTTACCATGTAGTAAGTAAATGAAACAACCATGATTCCTGCCCTCATGGAGCGTAGAGCCCAGGAGAAGAAGCCAAACCAACAAAATAACCACAATATAATGGCAGAATGTGTTAAGTATTAGGAACCGAACAGACTATTGCAATATTCAGTACTGGAAGGAGAGTTAGTATTTAGATAGGGTGTTTAAGAAGACTAGTTGAGCTGGTGGCATTCAAATCGGGGCTGAAAGGTAAAAAGGAGGCAGCTGAAAGTAAAAAGGTGAAAGGAGATGTCTCATGTACTTCTCAATCTCTGGATTTTGTTGGAATTTGATGTATGGCAGTGAGGGAGGGGGTTTATACTAAGAGGCAGGGAAATTTCACCTCTAAGACAGTCTTGAAGGTCTTGGAATATAATTCTCACTATGCGCCCAAATAATGTTCAACTTCCTCCTTTTATATATAATTATATATAATTTATGTATTAGAATTATATAAAATTATTAAAAATATAATTTTATAATTTATTGTAAATCATATAATTTTATAATAAAATTAATGAGAAGAGCATTCCAGGCAGAGGATGTCAGCAGAAACAGCCCAATGCAGCAGAGTGCAGCATGCTCCAGTAATTGGAAACGGCCACTCTTCCATGTGTGATGGTGTACATGAGGGTGGTGTGCACAAGATGAGGTTGGAGAGGTAGACAGGGATCAGGAATCCTGACTGTAGTGCCAGAGTGAGCCATCATCAGCATTCCCCTGAATTCAATTTACACAACCAACATGGCCACTACTCCCTCCCCTCCCCACATCCTGGATGGCACCTGACCCTCAGTAAGCTTATGGCATATAGGAAAACAACAAAGAGCAAATGTTTTCTCAAGAGAGGCCAGCTCCCAAGAGAAAGAGAAAGGAAGAATCTGGCCTAAAATTGCCCAGGAATTTTTCATAAATTCACAATCAAACAAATAATTTCTCCTTCCCTATGGCAGAAGAAATGAGGGAGCAGAAGTTGCCTGGACTATTTTACTAATGGAGTAGCCTTACAGTGGAGAGGAACACCAGGAGTGAGGAAGGGACTTCTCCCAGCAGTTGTGCCCTCTCCCACACTCTCTGGAAGTAATAATATAATCTGTCCTTTTAGAAGGAAAAATCCTTACATATTTAAAATTTTTTGTTTCTACCAGAATCCATAATGTGTGTTATTACAAAGTGAACAAGCTAGATATGCCCAAATACATTATCACATGACTTGAATGCTATAACTTGAATATCCTAGCAAAATTAAATCCAATGCCAGCAAGATGAGAACCAGGGTCTTGATGGATCTGCTACCTAACTATAGCCAACCATAAGTTTTCAGTGTTTTTTCTATATCTTGAGTGGATATTGTATACCTACGCATGCATGGTTATATCAAATCTAGTTTTTTTTTCTCTTTTCCATAAAAATACTTTAAAACTCAAATAATTATAAATGTGTAAATAGAAGGATTACCGATAAAATGCAATTCATGGGAATTACCTAGTGTAATTGTTAGGTATTTGTTGGCCCCTGTGTCAAAAATGCCCTTCTTTCTCCAGGTGAAGAGCTGCTTCCTCGGAAGAGCACCCTAAGGCTGGGTGGCCACTATCCTTTGCCTTGGCAGAGCCAGCCAGAAGGCCTAGGCACAACCCGCTGTGTTTGCTGACAGCCAACCTACCCTGGAGTTCCGGAGCGGCTTCCTAGGAAGTCTGGGGAGCGGTGAGTACCCATGTGCGGCCAGCAGCTTTGATAGCTCTGTCTTCTGGAAGAGCTTATTTTCTGATATTCTAGCCATTCCTGTCATTCTTTCAGACACACTTCTAAAAGACTGTCAAACAACTATTTTCTCTCTTTATACCTTTTCTGCACCCTGCCTATAGCCGTAGTACTTCTGTAAATCAATTACATCTTGCTGTCTCTGTCTTTGTGCGTGTAAGTGTGCAATGCTACAAATGGAAACTCGCAAGCAGAGAGAGACGGTGAAAGAGAGAGAGAAGGTGATTTTGTGTGTCTTCAACCTTACCATCGTATTTCTTTTAACATCAGTTAAAAATAGCTGTTATCAAGTGTCCAGTTGACAGGAGTCTTTGAAATCCAGTAATTTTTTTTTTTTTTTTTTTTTTTTTTTTTTGAGACGGAGTCTCGCTCTGTCGCCCAGGCTGGAGTGCAGTGGCGCGATCTCGGCTCACTGCAAGCTCCGCCTCCCGGGTTCACGCCATTCTCCTGCCTCAGCCTCCCGAGTAGAGTAGCTGGGAATACAGGCGCCCACCACTACGCCCGGCTAATTTTTTGTATTTTTAGTAGAGACGGGGTTTCACCGTTTTAGCCGGGATGGTCTCGATCTCCTGACCTCGTGATCCGCCCGCCTCGGCCTCCCAAAGTGCTGGGATTACAGGCGTGAGCCACCGCGCCCGGCCGAAATCCAGTAATTATTAATGGGAATTTTATACAGAAGAGGTAGAAAATGTAAAATAGCTTTGGTTCATAAAACAGGAAAGATAAATGTCACCAGGAAAAAAATCTATAACAAGTGTGTCGTGAACTACGTGAAGGAAAATCTGTTGTATATTAGTGAGATTGTTAAATGGAAATCAAGGATATTGGCTCTGTTGATGAGCAAATTCTATTCATCTGCATAAAAGCAGTTTATTTCAGAAGATAGGATATGTAGATCTAATTTTTATTGTTATACTATTGTTGGTCGTGGTGATTATGAATATATTACAAAGTTTTATAAAGACTGCAGCTTCACGTTTTTTTACTGTGGGCATTTAAAGTTTTTTTTACTTGGAATTTTAAGTTTTTCTAAACATACTTATAATTTTATTAGACACTTTATAAACAAGAATTATAAAAAGTAGAAGAGCATAAAATTTTACTATTTGCTCCACCATATACCCTCTGAGTGTTCAACTATTTTAAGGTCTCTGACTAAATACCAGCATATGATACTGGCAGAGATTGAAAGCAGAAATTCTATAGAACATCTAAATGTCACAGGTGTTATTGGAATGGAAATGAACTTTTTAATACATTTTATAGGTATTACATATAGCTAGAATTTTACACCATATTTTTACACTTTATTTTTTGACTTTGTCACCTATCACCTTTTCCAAATTACTAAAAACTAAAAATACCTTAATGAAATTAAGAGCATGAATGATTTGGCAAATCAAGACGGTGCAGTTTTTCTCCTGTCATGTAGGTCTATGATATATATCATTTTTCAATATTGCTGGTGGGTTGAGCCGACCTAACTACACACTGTGATCCTGAGATGTGGCTCCTGTCTGTCAATTTGGAATAGATTTAATTTGGAGTTACTACTTGGGTAGTCTAATTATTTCAAAAAGGAAGGGGGAGAAAAGTGAGTAATAAGAGTATTATAGGAAACTATATTTTAACAAAAGTTGTAGTTGAAAGTTAGAAAGAAACATATAATCAGGGCCGGGTGTGGTGGCTCACGCCTGTAATCCCAACACTTTCGGAGACCGAGGCAGGCAGGTCACCTGAGGTCAGGAGTTCGAGACCAGCCTGGCCAATGTAGTGAAACCCCATCTCTACTAAAAATACAAAAAAATTTACCCGGGCATGGTGGTGGGTGCCTGTAATCCCAGCTATTCAGGAGGCTGAGGCAGGAGCATTGCTTGAACCCAGAAGGCCGAGGTTGCAATGAGCCGAGATCGTGCCGCTGCACTCCAGCCTGGGCACGACAGAGTGAGACTCCATCTCAAAAAATAAATGAATAGATAAATAAATAACAACATATGATTAAGAAAGGAGTTAATTTTGTTTGGTATTTGGACACCCAAATCAGTCTTCATATTCTTTCATTGACAGCATTCATTAAGTTCTGCAGAAATTAAATAGAATTAAGAAACAAATTCCTTTCAGAGCAAAATGATATGGTACATTCTTAGTTAAATGCTTATGTCATTCCGCATATTTTTAAGTAAATTATCATTAAACTACTATTTAATATGTAGGAGAAATGATGCATTTAAATGTTATCTTTATTTCCTTAGAAAATATTACATTAACAGGTTAAAGAATAGCATCCCTTAGCACAGAAAAAACTTAAGCCCTTGAAAGTTATGAATATCCAAATTAAGTTCAGGCGTATACCTGAGTTTTGTCTGATGATTTCGCCGTAGCAACATTTATAATCAAATGTGTCATTTTAATACATAACTATAATTAATGATACAATGGGTTCTATTCTTTATGATAACGTTTTTGGAGTAACATCTGAGTATTTGCTCCATATTACTGGGGTAAGTAATAAGGTCAATATTACATACCTGAGTAATATTCATTGCAAACACTTTCAGTGTAGTTTTGCAGAAATAAAACAACTTGTGAAGGAACACAATCGTTTTCTTCCTAGGGACAGAAGGATTTTTAAATGAAAAAGGGCATCTGCTCCTTTTCCGCCTAACAATTTTATTGTCTTTTGGATCAAGGTAATTTGCTATGAAACAAGGAGAAACGTGTGGCCATTCGGTATCATTTTACTTATCTGAGTGTTTGCGCATCCAATTCAGAATGCGACCTGACTTGTTCAGATGACACCAGTTTCTCATACTCTTATGTCATCATTTAAATTTCATTTCATGTTTTGACAACCTTCCTCAGTAGAAGGCATAGAACACATCAGACTGCACCTCTTGAATCTTCATTCTTTAAACCTACATGCGCGATTCTAGAACTAATGTTTTCATAACATGTGGTGTCACTGAGGAGAATGAAAATCTCACTTTGAATATGCTACTGTAATAATTTTCACTTGTAAGCTATAATTGATCTGAATGATGGCAACAAAAGAAACACTTAAGAAAAGTAATTTTAGTCCTCAGTTAATGAAGTTTAATGTAAGCAGCATTCTCTCAGGTTACACATATTTATATGCCAGGGATCGTGTTTCCAGGTGTTGGGGGTCATGGAGCTTCTTACATCTACACTGTGCTATCATCACCGTTTGTTCTGAGTGATGAAAAAACTAAAGTCCAACATTTTACCTGAGTTTACATGTAACAGGCAAAGCAACCATCATTATAGAGGGTAGGGGTGGGGGTTACGTAGAGGATGTAATATTGGAGCAGACTTAAAGCTTGAATTAGCAACGTAAGGAGGAGTGGGTATTTTAGGCAGTGGAAAGAACATGGACAAAGTTCCTGAGCTGAGGAACTGCCTGGCATTCTCATGGAACTGAGAGGAACCCAGATGTCTAGAGCACAGCCTGCAAACAGAGAAAAAAACAGGAAGAGAACATACTGGTGCAATGCATGAAGGACAGGTCACACAGGGCCTTGCAGACACCATTAAAGAAATTTGATCTTTCCTCCAAGTGCAGTGAGAAACCATTAGAGGAATCTAGGTAGGAGACTGATGAGGTCAGATTTCTATTAAAAATCATCACACTGGTTGATGCGTGGAGAATAGAACAGATGTAGAAAGGAAAGGATAGGAGAGACCAATCTGGAAGATTTTACACCAGTTGAGGAAGAAGAAAAGAGTGAAGGTGTAGGGGTCTGAGGAGGAACTGGAGACAAATGCATGAGTTCCAGCTGGATCAGAAAGAGAATGGATTGGGTAGGTTAAAGATGAAGAAGAGAAGGGGCCAACAATGACTCTCATATTTTTGGATGGAGAAAACATGGTAATGTTCCTTGTTTTTATGTTCAGTTTGAAATGGATGCAGAATACCTAAGATGCATATATCCTGAAAAAAGTTCTGTTTGTAGTTTTGGAAGTCATAAATCTGGGCCAAAGATCTTAATTTATAGACATTGACTTTTAGATGGCAATTGAAGCCAGAATAGTGAATGAGATTGCTCAAAGAGAGAACATAGGGAGATTTTTTTAAGATCTTGAACAGAAAGCAACCTGAGGGACTTGGAGGAGCACCTTGGAGAGGAGAATGAGAAGAAACAGCCAGAGAAGTGGGAGGAAAACCTGGAGAGTCGGCAACATGGAAGCCAAGGGAAGAAGAGGGCATTTCAATATGGTGCTAAAAGCGCGGTGAGATGAAGATTATGAAGTATCCCTTGAATTAAACAACAGTAACATCATTGGTAGCCATTGCAACAGAGTTTTGATAGAAGAGTGGGCAAAATCCATATTGAAGATGGTTGTTCTATGGATGATAAAGAATAGAATTGACAAACACATACAACTGTTTCCAAAGTTGGCTGTGAAATTGAAGAGATAAATAGGAATGTGTATGGGAAATTGTGAAGTAAAAGGAAATTTTTAAAAATGTGATATGGTTTGGCTGTGTCCCCACCCAAATTTCATCTTGAATTGTAGTTCCCATAATCCCCTCGTGTTGTGAAAGGGAGCTGGTAGGAGGTAATGGAATCCTGGGGGAAGTTACCCCCATGCTGCTGTTCTCATGATAGTGAGTGAGTTCTCAGGAGATCTGATGGTTGTGTAAGGAGCTCTTCTCCCTTTTGCTTGGTATTTCTTGGTGCCACCATATGAAGAAGGACATGTTTGCTTCCCCTTCCACCATGATTGTAAGTTTCCTGAGGCCTCCCCAGCCAGGCTGAACTGTGCATCAATTAAACATCTTTCCTCTATAAATTACCCAGTCTCAGGTATGTCTTTATTAGCAACATGAGAACAGACTAATACAAAATGATAGTTTAAAATTCCTGAGGAAATGCCGAGATGAGATCCAGCAATTTTGTGCAGAGCATAGTCCTAAAAAGGAAAAGGGCTAACACTTTCATTTAACAGAAAAAGCAAAGAGGAAAGCATAGATACTAATGCCAAAAGACTTCATTGGTTTGGTGGCAGGATTTCGAAGTATTTGTATGAAGGAAGATAGTATTGAGAACAATGGGAAAATATGAAGTCATAGGCTTGAGCTAAGTAAAGAATGTTTGAAATAATCATGGCATTCAACAAAAAAGAGAAACTAGAGAAATATACAGTGTGATTGCCCAGCACTACTGAGAGGTTATTAAGGTTGATGACTATAAGTATTTAGAGTGCTGAAAGACTTTCTCCAGAAGCTCTAGAGCAGGAAAACTCAGATCTTTGTATTAATTCACAATGGAATTCTCCAAATAGCTGTGCAAGGAACAAAGGTATATGAGACTGCAAGACGACGACAAGGGAGTGATTGACAAATGAGGCCATGGGTATTAACCAAGATAGAAAACAAAGGAAAGACAGGAAGTGTCTGGTGTAAAGGTCCTGATGGAGTCGAATAATAGGCTTAGTGAGAATAAGTGAGCAAACAAGCTAGGTGGAGGGAAGCTTGGGGAGGGACAGCAGATTGTCTGAATTCTATATTTCAACGTGGAGTTTTAGGTATGGACATCCTGTTTTGTGGCACTGAAAGAGGATAGTTGAGATGGAGTGGAGGAAAAGGTCACTAAGAATGTGGATATGAAGACATAGTGAGGCCAGATGATGCCATCCGATGACAGAAGTGATTGGGTTGGAGACATCCAGTTGCCAAACTCTTAACGAAGAGTCATGTAAAAGTTGATAGCAAAAAAAAAGGTCAGGGGAGACATAACTAGTGCACAAGACTCAAAGCGTAGTTCCCCCTGCCCACCCAAAGACGATGAAGAAATGATGTACTGGACCGAAGGTGGACCAGCATGCAAAGCAGGGATGTTCATAAATAGCGCTGTTCTATCCTGCATGGTTTGAGAGGAAACAGCAAAGTCTTCACTCCAACCAATAACCTCCGTTAGTCCTGTAGGGATGCCTGAATTTTTTATGACAGTCAGGTCTTCAGGAACTCCCCTTGGCCAGCACAGGAATGCTCCAAGTCTTAGAAGAAACTCACAGGAGACCCTTTGGCACAGTGATCAGAAGGTCCTGGGTTTAAAATGTGGTTCTGTCACTGTGGTGTATTCTAGCTAACAATCATGGGCATGTTCATTAACACTGTACAGCTTTTGACCTCTCTTCTGTAAAATAGGAATAAAAATAAGAAGTTCTAATGTCTGATTGTAAAGATTAATGGAAGTAATGTCTGTAAAACCAGGCTGACATTACCTGTTGCATATTAAGTATTAATAAGTAGGATCTAATGGCATAATTATCATTATTAATGTCATGGAACTCATATACTAATATTTTAAGCTCAAATAACTTTACAAGGCTTCCTGAAGCAAACCACACTGTCTCCTGCCCTATAACATTCTACATCATGAAATACCCCTCAAGGTGCCCCTTATTCTACATCTGACTAGCACATTATCTTAAACTGGTTTAATATACAGTCATGTACCGCATAACGATGTTTCAGTCAACAGTGGACTGCTGTTTTCTAATGTTATAATGGAACTGAAAAATTCCTATTGCCTAGTGGTAGTGTAGCCATCGTAATATCATAGTGCAATTACTTTAAGCTTTAAATAAATCTAGGGTAGCCTAAGTGTACAATGTTAATAAAGTCTACAGTAGTGTGTAGGCATGTCCTAAGCCTTCATGTTCACTCACCACTCACTGACACCCACAGCAACGTCCAGTACTGTAAGCTCCATTCCTGGTAAGTGCCTTACGCAGACGTACAATTTTTTTTTTTTAACCATTTGTATATCATTTTTATACCATTTTTTTCTGGTGTGCCTTTTCTATGTTTTTTATACCATTTTTATACTTTTTTTTTCTGGTGTGCCTTTTCTATGTTGAATACAGAAATCCTTACCATTGTGTTACAATTGCCTACAGTTCAGTAGAGTAACCAGTAACCTACTGTACAGGTTTGCAGCCTAGGAGCAATAGGCTGTGCTTTACAGCCTAGGTGTGTAGTCAGTTCTACCTACTTTTGTATGGTTAGATATATGATATGGTCAGATTAAAGGTTTGTTTAAGTACACTGTATGAAGTTGGCACATCAACAAAATCACCTAAGAACAGGTTTCTCAGAACACCTTCCCATCATTAAGCAATACATGACTGTATGCCAGCCCCCAAATTATTCTCTGCTCAACCTCCAGACACGGAACAAGTAACCTTATTGAATAAATCTTGTATCCCCCTCACCTGAAAGAGAACCGGGATCAGAGTAGGTGCTAAATAATATTTTAATTTAAGATGGTACAAAAAGAGAACTTATGATAGGTTACTAAAAGACATGTGGCTGGTTCTTTTCTTCTAAAAGTACTAGGTATAGCAAACCAATGCAAGAGAGAGGCAGCCTGTTAATCTAGAAAGAGTGAGGAGAGTGAGGTCCCCTTTCTTCATCCATGTTAAGTGCTGTTTTTTGTTACAGTGGTTTAGAAGGATAGACAATGATGTTATGACAATCAGTCTTCAAAAGAATATTTCTAGGTTCTAACATCCCCACATGATGCCATGGAGCAGAGGTCTTACCAGCAAAATCTCAAATACAAAGAAAAGATGTTTGAGTAACATTTGACAAAGGTTTATAAAACATGAACTCCTCTAAACACATATTTAAAAGACTTAGTATTTCAAAGTTTAATATTAGATTAGTATTCAAGGGAATCACTTTTTAAGATATTGAGTCCAATAGGAAACCAATCATGTGAGCAAAACTTCAGTCTTTTAAAATTGTAATTAAATTAAAGATTATCTGGTTGCTTGTATATACTATAAGTAATATTGGTGCTAATCTGATGGAACAAAGCATTATCATCTGTTGAGGGTTTAGTGGAGTGTCGAGGTATTTATTCTTTAATATATATATTAATGGCATTTAAAAAAATCTCAACAGAGAAAAGAGGCTCAAGATTCTGAAAGTAGTGGATTCAACTTTTTCTATATTAACGGCAGGTTGTCCTAACAAGAGAATCAAGTGAGATTATAGAATGGGGGCATTTCCAACAATAGAAATCAGCTATATTAATAGCTTTGATAGCTAAATCACTGTTCTCACACTACGGTGGGAAGGGCAAAGGTAGCCAGCTTTCACTGAGAATGTCTCTTAACCAAAGAATCTTCTGGACACTATGTGGCATATTTCATTAAATCATCATTCATTAATTATTGTTCCCAACTTTAACATTGTAAAAATATGATATTGAGAAAGATTTACTTGGTAAATATATGTGTGTGTGTGTGTGTGTATATATATATATATGTGTGTGTGTGTGTGTGTAGGTGTGTGTGTACACATGTGTGTGTATATATGTATATATGTATATGTGTATATATATATGTGTATATATATATGAAGCTATTAAGTGACAGAGTTGAGGTCTGAATTCTGTCCGATATCAAAGCCAATATTCTGATCCCTGATGTATAAAACCTCAATTTATCCTTCGATTGTCTAGAGAGCCCTGGACCATTAACCTATTCCTTGCAAGTTCTTAACCGATTTGTTCTGATGTTGACATAACACAGATAAGGCAGTTAAGAGTTTAAAACCAAGGAACGAACGAGGGCTTAGAAAATTCAGCAGAACTACTAAAACAACTTTTGTCAAAATGTGTCACTTTATTTTGATAGCTTTTAGGTTGATAAAGCAGGAGGCAGGACTCTAAGCTAGTATCTCTATATCAACTCTTCTATCATGATAAACTTGTGAGCAAGATGAGTAAATGGGAGCTGGTTGATAGTGGAGATGGGCAATACTGGTGCTGTGATTATTCAGTACTTGTATTGATGAGTGAAGATTAGATATATAAATATGTAAATTATAGAATTTTTAGAGGAGGATTTAAAAATGTGTAAAACAGATTATTAAAAATTTTCTGTTTACAATATTTTAGAAAATATTTTGAGTGAATAATGTACTAGAAATTTTTACATTTAAAAAATCACAAGACTACATTTATAATTGCAAGTCTACATTCTCTAACTTCTCTGAATAAATACAAAATTTAATTAAGAACTATCCATAGAATGGTAGACATTTGGAATAGAAAATTACCCTATATAGTTCACCTCTTTCACTGGAGTAATTTATTTGCAGATTGAACACTCAGTAGAGAAATTTTTCCACATCTAAGGGACAGCATCAACCAGGAAGTCTTCCTCTAGAGGAAGTCTCTAAAAGTATTGGAGTTCCTAGATTACTTAATTGGTCATGAAACAAAACACTGCAAGAGAAAGTAAATCAAACCTAATAGGGAGAGTTTATTCTAAGTTAGTATTTTATATTAGAAAAACCTGATTTTAAAATAGTGAAAGTGGTATTTCAAAATGATTTATATTTATTAATAATTTCTTAATATTTAATAACATATGAAAAGGTAGATGACAAATGGACTCTGTAGGCACTGAAACTTGGTGATATACCAACTCCTTCAGTGAGCGGCTTAGTGTGAAAGACACAAAGGGCAATGTAAACAGAGACATCAATATGTTTCCCTCAAGTTTAAAATTAGAATTTATTTTGGAAGTTCAAGTCAACTTCATTATTCTCTCTCCTTCTTGGTAGTCATTTTTTTTTGTTTGGGGCTCTCTCGATTAAACCCTGTCACTTCAGGGGAAGTTCAAGAGAATAGTGCATTATTGATGTTACAGAAACAGTTGTTACTGATCAATATGTTTTGAACCACATACAGAGTATATCTTTAAGGACATAATTCATCAAAAACAGGCTTACTGGAGCTCCTCATACTATTTTCATTGATTTTTTTCCTCTCTAGGAAGACATGGTAGATAGTCTATATGTGACACAAGAGTTATATTCAAAATAAAGAAGTCAGGTAGTCAATTACAAAGAAAAAAATCAAATATAAGCATTCTAAAAGAGGAATACAATTGAATTTAAATTCTTATTCTCACATTTTAGTATCCTGTTCAGATTATATAATCAGATGACCTGTAATTATTAAAAAGGTTTCACATAAAGAATACCAGATTCTAGGTGTGAATTTCATTTGTGACTCACTATGTGAAATAGGAGTATTTCTATAGTATTTAGTTTTCCTATTACCACTACATAGCTTATTTTTAAATTTAAAATTAAGTATACCTATGCATTGCTTGATACTGTATGTGTTTTACATACTTGTCTGTTAAAGCAAATTTTAAAAGAACTAGTGGAGTTCACACTGTAAGATGTCCTAAAGTAATTCCTATTGTACCGCAAACAATTGGTTTATAAAGGGAATAATAACCTTCTAATCTTGCAAATCTGTATCCTCATATATAGTGTTAGCTTAAAAATCAAGATAATATATTCTTTTCAGTAATCACAAAGAATCTGAAATGAGGGTTAAAGGAAAGTACTATGTCTTAAATTGTTTTACAAGATAGAATATTACTGCTCATCAGATCGGAGAAAAAAACTGATCTTTGAGTGAGGTTTTTTGCTTTTAGAACAGTGAATCAGTGTAGATATTTTAGGTCACAATTTGCATTTTAACCTCAATATCTGCCCTAGTAGTCCATTATTCTAACTTTCTCATTAAAGGTGAAACCCAATCCATCATTGCTGTAAACTGCTTGGGTGAAACGTCCTCTTGGATGGTCATAAATAAATGCTTTTTGAAAAAACAAGAGATGCGTGCGTAGTAGCTACCTGTGACAACTTACTCAAATAGCCATGGAAGGCAAGAACAGTTTACTTTGCATATTCTCTCTCTTCTGGTCCAACCTTAATTTGAGACCTTATGACCACTTGGCCTCCCCACTCGTTCCTTGAAACTCCTTATTAATCCAATCCATCTGATGCATTGCTCCAGTATAATATAATCTTCCATAAAGATTTTCTTCCTTGCATGGTAATACATTGCTTTGTATTTTACTGAGTATTATTTCATCAAATCCATATATGTGTTGTATTTATTCATGCACCAATGAATGGGCTTTTAAGTTGTAATCAATTCCCTTGTTATTTTGAATAAAGACGCTATGAATATTTAAGTACAATTGTTGGTGCAGACATGTATTTTCATTTCCAATGAGTAAATACCTAGAGAGTGCTATTCCTTTGTCTTATGGTAAGTACATACTTACCCTTAAGAAACTGCCAAATTACTTTCCAAAGTTGCCTTAGCACTTGGCATTTGAATGAGGAATATATGAGATTTTTATTTGCGCCACATTTTCACAAAAACTTGGTATTGTCAGTCTTTTCAGTTTTAGTCACTCTAAGGGGTGTATAGTGGTATCTGATTATGGTTTGAATTGGCACATCCCTAAAGACTAAATACATTGAATATTTTTTCATGTGTTTATTAGTTATGGGATAGCTTCTTTTGTAAAGTACCTGTTCAACTCCTTTGCCCATTTAAAAAATATATTAATATTTATTATGGAGTTCTTTCTATATGTTCTGCAAGTAATTTTCCCAGAGCATGACTTGCCTTTTCACGTTCTGAAAAGTGTCTTTTGAAGAGCACAAGTTCTAAAACTGATTAGGTAGACTTCATCAATTTTTTTATGATTTGAATCTTTGGTAACTTATGTAAGAAATCTTTCTCTATTCCATAAAAATTTCCTCCTATATTGTCTTCTAGAATTTACATAATTTTGGTTTTCATATTTAGATTTTTGATTCATTTCAGGTTACTTTTTGTAAATGATCTGAGGTAACAGTCATTTTTTTATATATGGATATCCAATATTTCCCACATTACATGTTAAAAAGTATACACTTTCCTCACTGGATTATCTGGGATCAGGAATTGACCACATAAGATGGGTCCTATTTGTAGACTCTATTCCGTGCCATTGATCTTTATGTCTGTCTTCATGCCAACATCACATCACCATAGTTTTATAGTAAATTTTGAATTAGGTACCACAGATACTCCCACTTTGCTTTTCCTTTGAAAATTACTTTGACTATTTTAGCTCCTTTGCATTGCTATATAAGTTTTAGAATCTTCTTTTTAACCTCAAAAACCTGTTGAAATTTTTATTGGCATATCATTAAAATATAAATCAATCTGGGAAAATTGACACATCAACGATATTGAGTCTCCTGATCATGGTATCTCTCTTCACTGATTTTCACTTCACTTACCTCTCTTCACTTTTCTTCATTCAACAATGTTTTGCAGTTTTTGGTGTAAAGATCTTGTATGTATTTTAGTCAGTTTATCCTTACATATTTCATGACATTCGTTGCTACTTTAAATGGTATTGTAGTATAAATTCCATTATTATATTGTCACAAATACATAGAAATACAATTGACATTTGCAAATTGACACGGTATTCTGCAATGTAATAAAATTTACTTATTAGTTCTGTGAACTATTTTGTAAATTCCATGGGAAAAGTGAATAGACAACTTTGCAATGTGTGAATAAAGGCAGTTTTAATTCTAATTTCCAAACGTGCTAGGGTTAAAATATGAGTAGAAATGGAGAAAATAGACGACCTGCCTTATTACTGATCTTAGGGAGAAAGCATTCCATCTTTCACCATTAACATGACTTTATCTGTAGGTTTACTGTAGCCAGCACATAGTGGAGTGTTGTATTTTTGTATTATCTGATGATCTCTGCCTTTTAATTGGTGCTTATTTTTCTTTATATATTATAGCTCATAAAATATATTTAATGTCATTATTGATACAACTGGGTGAAAATCTCCTAATTTACTATATTTTGCCATTTGCCCAGATATTTTTTCTTTTGTTTACCTTTTTTTCTGCATTAATTTGAATTAAATAAGTATATTCAGTATCCCATTTTATCTGTATTACTGCCTTACTAGCTATAGTTCTTTTTTTTTTTTTTCATGGTTGCTCATGGCTTACAATACACCCAGTTAAATTACCACATACTCAGTAACATATACCACTTCACATTTCAGGTAAGAAACTTGCAACAGTGTAGGTTCATTTCCTCCCTTCTTTCTTTGCAGGAATATTGTCATACATTTTACTTCAGTGTATGGTATAAATTCCATAATGCATCATTACTTGGTTTTATTTTAAAGAGTCAGTTATCTTATAAAGAGATTAAAAATTTTTAAGTTTATTTTCTATTTATTACATAGAATATCTATGTTTCTATATCTATGTCCATTCAAATTTCTGACTTTATGATTTTCCTCTTGCTTGATAAGCATCTTTTAATAGCTTTTGTAATGCTGATAATGAATTCTTTCAGATTTTGCTTATCTGAAGAGAAAAAGCTTCACTGTATCAGACTATCGGAAAAAATATTTTCACTAGAAATATAGAATTCTAGGTTGACTTGCTTTTTGTTTATCTTTTTTTTTCTGGGATAGAAAGGTCTTGCTTCTTTGTCATCCAGCTTTCATAGCTGCTGTCGCAAAGTCTATTGTAATTCTTATCTTTCTTCTGCTACACCTGTGTGTTTTTTTCCTCTGTCTGCTTTTAAACCTTTTCTCTTTATCGTTGCTATTTAGCAATTTGATTATTTTGTGCCTTGGTGTGGTTTTATTTGTTTATTGCATTTAAAATTGATTGGGTTAATTTGATGTGAGGGATTATGATTTTCTTCAAATCTGGAAAATATTTTAGCCATAATTTCTTCAAATTTTTTCTATTCTGCCCCTACTTACTGGAACTCTATTCCACATATGTTAAATAGCTTCCTCTACACGTCATTGATGCTCTGCTGATTTTTCCTCAGTCTTTTCTTTCTGCACTTCATTTTGGATTATTTCTATTGCTACAATTTCAAGGTCAATAGTTTTTTCTATTGCAATGTATTATCTGCTATTAATCTTATCCAGTTTGTTTCTCATTTCAGATATTGTATTTTTTATCTTTAGAAGTTCCACTGGGTTTCTTTTCTCTATGGTTCATATTTATCCTCATCATGTTTGTGTTTTCTTCAACATCCTTGAGTATCTGGTCTATATTTATAATAGCTGTTTTAATGTTCTTTCCGGATAATTCCATCCTCTCTCATGTCTAAATCTGTTGATTCAATGGCTTGATTATTCTCCTGGATATGAGTCATATTTTCCTGCTTCTTGGTATGCCTAGTAATTTTGAATTGAATGCCAGACATTATGAATTTTACATTTTTGGATTCTGGACTCTGTTGTACGTATTCCTTTCCAACAAAAGTATTGGGCCTTGTCCTGGGTACAGTTCAGTTACTTGGAATGGATTTGACCGATTTGCTTTTATGCTGTGATAGGGAAGGTCCAAAGTAACTTGATCCAGGGCTAATTTAACCTCAATATTAAAGTGATATCCCATTTGAGAAATGTAGAAAATTATTTATGTGTCATGATGTCTTTCCTTTTAGATGGTGAGAACAGAAGCTCTTAGGAACCCTGAGAAATAGCCGGGAATTTCCAGTAGTAGTAGTTAGGGTAATTGCCTCTTATTCATGTATAAATTAAAGATCCAGGGGATGGGACCCATTTGCCGACCTCCAGAGTCCTTTCCATTTCCCTGCCCTGCATGTCAGGCTGCCTTGGTCTCCCTGAACTCAGTTCTCTGTGTTCTATACCAGTAAGGTGGTTTGGCTCTTCTGGGGTTTCACTTGCTGTGCTGTGGCTTGAAAACTGCCTCCAGGCAGTAGCTTGGGACAATCTTAGTACTCACTTCTTTATTTCTTTTCTCTCAAGGATCAGAATCCTATGCTTGCCGTCATCCAATGTCTGAAAACTGTCTTTTCAAATATTTTGCCTGGTTTTCAAATTTTTTAAAGGCAGCATGATATATCTGGTCCATGTTACTAAATTGTCCCCAGAAGTAGAATTTTTTGTTTGTTTGTTTCTTTGGATTTGTTTCCCTCCTTTTTTCCTTTTGAAACATAACTCACGTGTCATTCCCACTGGGAAACTCCTACTGACCACACTTTTCCAGCTGAGTCAAGTTCCCACTCTGTGCATTTCCATCTGTAGGGATTCCATCAATGATGACACTGATTTTCCATTGCATGCTCAACGTTGGCTTACTTTTCTGCATCACTACATAATGTGTTCCTTAAGGGTAGGAACTGGCACATATTTACCTTATTCATCCCTGTGACCTCAGTACTAGTGCATCACCTGTATTGGGTTGAATATATCAAATGTATCACTCCACAGCAAACGAACAGCTGGAATTATTCTGTCTTGTCTACACAGTAAGCACACATAGCTCATCTTGGTATTCAAGACCATTGGTAACGTGACATAATTCATTATCATAGTCTGATCTCTCTCTACAAGACCTTTATGGTCAGCAAAGCTTAGGCCCACCATTTATAAAAAACAACATAGCCCTCCCACCCATGGCCCTTTTTTATGCAATTTCTTCCACCTGGAATTTCCTTTTCCACAAATCCTATCTATCAAAATTATTTTCTTTAACATCCATGTCAAATACCACATCTTCCCTGATGCTTATGCTGGTTGACCAGCATTTGTAATGCCCTTGCAATTTATTTACCCTGGTCATGTGTCCTATTTTATCTTGCCTGTTGTATACATTCTCTCTATTTTATCATAGTCTATGCATTTCCCATTCTATGAGTATTTCCTATTCCATCATATTATTCCATGGCTGCATTAGGCTTACTTACAGCCCTACCCAATTCACCTATCTTCACTCAACTGGATGTCTCTCTCTTTAAGGTAAAAACTATGTGTTTATTTAAGAACTATATTTAAAATAGTAGGCATTCAATAAGTATTTAATAAAACATGGATATCAATTTTAAAAGATTTTTGGTTGTTGTCATTGTTGGTAGCAAATTTCTTAGTGTACTATCTTTATTGAGATATGGTTCATAAACCATAACATTTACCTTTTTTGAAGTGGACAATTCAATGGTGGTTAGCATTTCCACAGGGCTGTGCAACCATCATCCATATCTAATTTTAAAACATTTGTATCACCCTCCCCTAAAAACCCTGTAGTTTTTAGCAGTCACTTTTCATCATTTTCCCCTCCCCCAGTCTCTGGCAGCTATAAGTCTACTTTCAATGTCTGTTGATGTGCCTACTCTGTGTAGTTTATATAAATAAAACCATACAAGACATGGTGTTCTTTGGCCTTTTGACTTAGCATAATGATTCCAAGGTCCATCTGTACTGTAGTATGTAGCAGTACTTTTTACTCCTTTTATTGGCAAACAATACTCCACTGAATGAATATACCACATTTTGTTTATCCATTTATAATTTGATGGACAGTTGAGTTGTTTCGAGTTTTGGACTACTGTGAATAATGCTACTATGAACATTTGTGTACAAATTTTTGTGTGGACACATGTTTTCATATATCTTAGATATATGTCCAGAAGCAGAATTACTGACTCACGTGGCAAATCATTGCTTACCATTTTGAAAATACGCCAAACTCTTTTCCAAAGTAGCCGTGTTATTTTACAATCCACCAGCAATATACAGGGGTTCCAATGTCTTCATATCCTCACTAACAATTGTCATTGTCTGTCCTTTTTATTTTAGCCATTCTGGTGGGTATGTAGTGGTGTCTCATTGTTTTCATTTGCCTTTACCTAATGACGACTGGTGTTAAGCATCTTTTCAGGTGGTTCTTGATCATGTGTATATCTTCTTTTGAGAAATGTCCATTTAAACTCTTGACCCAATTTTTCATTAGGCTAATTGTGTTTTAATTTTTTGGTTGCAAGAGTTCTTAAAATATGCTAGGTGCAAGTTCCCTTATCACATATATGATTTGTTAGTATTTCCTTTCATTCTGTGGGTTTTCTTTTCATTTTCTTAATTATTTTCTTAGAAGCATATTTTTTTTTCAATTTTAAAAATAGTCCAAGTAGCCAGGCGCAGTGGCTCATGCCTGTAATCCCAGGACTTTGGGAGGCCAAGGCTGTTGGATCACCTGAGGTCAGGAGTTTGAGACCAGCCTGGCCAATATGGTGAAGCCCCGTCTCTACAAAAAATACAAAAATTAGCTGGGCATGGTGGCTCATGCCTGTAATCTCAGCTACTTGGGAGGCTGAGGCAGGAGAATGACTTGAACCCAGGAGGCAGAGGTTGCAGTGAGCCGAGATGGTGCCATTGCACTCTCCAGCCTGGGCAACAAGAGTGAAATCACATCTCAAAAAAAAGAAAAAAAGTCCAATTTATCTATTTTTTGTCACTGATGACTTTGGTGTCATATCTAAAAAACTGTCATCTAACCCGAGGTGAAGCATATTATCTCTTATGTTTTCTTTTAAGAGTTTTATAGTTTTAACCTTTAAATTTGTGACTATAATTCACTTTGAGTCAATTTTCTTATGATGTGAAGGAGTTCAACCTCATTCTTCAAAGATATGATTTTTGAAAGAAAAAAAATTGTACCCATCCTTTTTTAAAACTTAGTTTCCATAATCATGTTCTTGAGTTGGGTAAACATGTAGATGTGTTCAGAGAAAAAGACAACTGAAAAAAAAAAAAACTTGGTAGAAATACATATTTATTTTTTCATTAAGATATATATTTTTTTCTCTTGCATGGAATAGACTGACTAACACATTCTTCATACAGTTATCAACCAAACATTTGATGCCTGGGATTGCTCAGAAACAAAGAGTGCTTTTACTTAGAAATTACCTTTGTGTTGATTATTCTTGAACTTCTCTCCTTGAAAGATAGTCAGAAAAGGTGACATCACATAAAGTCAAATGCAAATAACTACATAATTTTAGAATTATGAAAATATGCAAAAATAGTTACATAAATGTTATATTTATTTCTTAGCGGAATTCTAGAGCCCATAGAACTTTTATGCTTTAAAAAGTTAGATTTTTGTAGGCATATATAGCCAAAACCACAATTACTTTTGCACCAACCTAATATTTTAAAAGATCAATAGGACTGACATTCCCAAGGCCTCTGAATAGCGCTGAAACTCCACCTTCCCCCTTCACTTTAGTAGCGCTTACAGTGAGCACCAGACGGAGGAAAGTTCACATGAGGAAGTTGCTAGATGCACACATCACATCACACCATGTCACAGAGTGAAGGACTGGGACACAGTGGTTTTAGGTCCCGCCGTGCCACTGTGCCACTTGCTCTTCCTTGGGAAATAACCTTTTCCCTTCTAAAATGACTTATTTAAAACTCTTCAGTTGACTCCACACTTTACCTTCAAATTGTGCATCAGAAGCCGCCTACATGCCATAGCTAACTTCAAGCAATCACTTGGAATTCTTGACATCCACCTAAACGTGGGTGGATAATGCCTATGTGGAAGGAGCCTGAGTCTCCAGGAATTTTTTTTTTTGTTTTGTTTTTTTGAGACGGAGTTTCTCTCTTGTCCCCCAGGCTAGAGTGTAATGGTGCGATCTCAACCCACTGCAACCTCCGCCTCACTGGTTCAAGTGATTCTCCTGCCTCAGCCTCCCGAGTAGCTGGGATTACAGGCATGCAACACCACACCCAGTTAATTTTTGTATTTTTAGTAGAGATGGGGTTTCACCATGTTGATTAGGCTGGTCTTGAACATCTGACTTTGTGATCCACCCGCCTCGGCCTCTCAAAGTGCTGGGATTACAGGCATGAGCCACCGCGCCTGGCCTGGAATTTAAGGGTGATGTTGTCCTAAGGAAACTATATGCCACAGTGTGATTCCATCATGCTGTGTGAGCCACCTACACTTTACGGTAATTGGTTGTATGTATGTAATTTATTCCTATAGAATCCATTATTATAATATAAGAAACTCCCTGGAAGGTAGAAAGAAGAACACATCACAGTCAGATTGTAATAACTATTTGGACTATTTAAAATCACTCATCGAGCTCCATATTAGAAAAACAAGCCCTCTACAGTTATCTAGTTTACACATTTCATATGGCTTTCTGATTTCATACTTGAGACAGAACATGTTACTACACTTTTTAATATTGATGTTTAGGAAAACAATTGATTAAAATGTGAAATATTGCCCCTAAGCATTTATAGATTGAAGTAAAATAGTCCCCTCATATTTACATCTGAATTCTTTTTCTTGTAAAAATGCTTAACATTAACACAGTACTTCTATTTTATCTAAAACAGTGGGTCCTCCTTGTCACCTCTCTCAAACTTTTTATTGGTGCTATTTTTAGGAAAATATCATAGATTGCATTTATTTGAAATTACTTTACAAATCTATTTTAGGTAAAAACTCAGAACTTACTCTATTACATGTGAAAACTGAGAACTGGGTAATATTTTACTAGTGTGTGTGTGTGTGTGTGTGTGCGTGTGTGTGTGTGTGTGTGTATATATATATATATATATATATTTTTTTTTTTTTTTTTTTTTTTAGGCAGAGTCTCGCTCTGTTCCCCAGGCTGGAGTACAATGGCACGATCTTGGCTCCCCGCGACCTCCGCCTCCCATGTTTAAGCAATTCTCCTTGTCTCAGCCTCCCAGGTGGTAGCCGGGATTACAAGCGCCCGCCACTGTGCCCAACTAATTTTTGTACGTTTTAGTAGAGACGGGGTTTCGCCATGTTGCCCAGGCTGGTCTTGAACTCCTGACCTCAGGTGGTCCGCCTGCCTTGGCCTCCCTAAGTGCTGGGATTACAGATGTGAGCCACCGCACCCGGCCTACTAGTATATGTTTAAATCACCATGTTATCCAAGGGATTAGATCACAAGCATATTATGACAGATATCTAGTTATTACAATTTATTGTTCAATTTCAATAAATTAAAAAATTTAGTATGGTACAAAAATAATTAAATAGAGTAAAAAATATTCAAGTTGCAAAGTATATTTCTAGAAAAAAAGATTCAAGTGTGGATGGCAGAGAAATGAGGAAAATGAGCATAAGGTGACACTTACAAGAAAATTGTAACTCTGGTGCCTGAGTCGAAAGGAACAGAGCAGAACACAAAGAAAGAAAGAAGCAGCTGAGGACTAATTAGCATTGATATATATTTAAAAGATGTTGGTGATGTGAGTGCTTTTTAGTGTTAAGTCTTAAGTTAGTGATTTTTATGACAATAAAAGTTGTCTTTCAAAGACGCAGATATTTTCATTACTTTCATCTGGATTGACCCTATATTATATATGTTAAAGATTTTCCAGAATAAAAAATTTTAGACCTTACAACCAAAAACACTACTTGGGTCAGTTTCAAGTGATATCGCCACAGTACTAGGTAAAATTAAAAATAAGAAAAAAGGCCTGGTGCAGTGGCTCATGCCTGTAATCCCAGCACTCTGGGAGGCCGAGGCAGGTGGGTCACTTGAGCCCAGAAGTTCAAGACCAGCCTGGGCATCACAGGGAGACCCCATCTGTACAAAAAAAAAAAAAAATTGGTGTGGTGGCGCATGCCTGCGGTTCCAGCTACTCAGGAGGCTTAGCCTGGGAGGCAGAGGTTGTAGTGAGGCATGATTGCACCACTGCACTCCAGCCTGGGCCACAGAGTGAGGCCCTCTCTCAAAAAATTAAAATTAAAATTAAAAATAAATAACCAAAAAGCAAAAGATGGACTAGTCCCTTAGCTAGCCCACTGGTTTTATTCCCTTCCTTTATTTTCTTTTTTACATCTTGTATCCAGTTATTGCAAATGTGCTTCAATTTTCTGCATTTTATTTTACAAAATCAGGGACAAATGTAGAGCAATTTCTATTTCTGCATGTATCATCCTCAGATAGGAATTCCAGTCAATTGAAGCCACAACTGAGCGTGCATGTTTGACCACCATCTGTATAGTGCGCTCTGAAACTTCTCCATTTTCAGTTCGCTAGCTTCCTTTAGCGACTACATTTGTATAGTATGACACATTAGTGCTGGAATTTTTCTCCAACTAGCATGCCCAGGATCTATAGCAGACAAATGAAGTCTTAGATCTGTTTCTCACTCCATATTGCTGCCAAGTCCCTGATGGAGATGCCGATCTTTTTTATCATTCCAATCTAAACTTCAGCTTTTTGTAAGTGTTTTATTTTTGCTAGCATTTTGCCTTTGCACTCACTGATTTAACACGCTTTTCACATGGAATCCTCAGCTTTCCTCACAAATACAGTTTCTGGAAAAGTCGTTACATTTTACTAACCTCTTTTGATTCCAATGGACCCATTTTTCTCTCCTATGTAAATTTGCCTTTTGCTTCCTTTTGGTATATCAGTTTGTAAATGTAAGATGTCAACCTGGATGTCAGAATTTTTTTCAGTACATACATAATCTCTTTCTTTGTAAAATTAATAAATGATTGAACTGCAGGTGTTAGAGAGCTAAAAATTATTTTTTGATCGAGTGGCTTTATTGCAGTTGTCAATTGTCATGGGTATATTTTCTACTGGGTTGCTCTGGTTGTATCATAAACTTTGACTTGGTGTGTTGCAATGCTGTGCTTCCTGGCTTAAGAGTACAATATAATCTTGGTCATATTTAAACTGAAATAAACTGCATTACAGTTTTACAACCAGAATCACTAAATTCTCTTTTCTTTTATATACATATGAAAGAAAAAATATATCTATATACATCTCCCTCCATATATATAATATGAATTGTGATCACTGCTACTTTTATAAATTATTGTGGCAATTAAGAAACAATGTTTTTACTTCAGCTCAAATATAATATTCCTACTTGGACAGAAATGAAGCTTGTTTATAAATAATCAGCTTTAAAAACACTTACTTATTAACATTTTATTTTAGAAAACACTTGCATATTTTTTCTAAGAAATTGGGCCCAGGAACAGTTTTGAATGGCATTATAGTTAAGGGTAGTAAGCCATAGTTCATGGCCAGAAGAGCAAGCTGTTGGAGAAGCTGTAAGACATTTTGAAATGTCTGTAGCCTTGCATAAATATTACTAAATACCAATTCCAGAAAATTGTTGAGTAGTTAAGTAAAAAGCTAATTTGTCTGGTTATTTCCCTGTTATGTTAAAATAACAGTATTTTACACATTTCCCTTTAACAATATTATTCTTATTCAAAATGAACAAGTGAACAAAATCATATTAAATTGTTATACCTGAGACTCGTATCTTTATACTTAAGCCTTTAAAATATCACTTAATTATAACCCCAGAGTCATTTTATGTACAGATACAAGAAAACAGGAGACCCTGCCTGTTTTTTTATTGTTAAGTCTGATTATTATGTACAGCACAAGGTATCACTCCGGTCGACATGATTCATCTCAGATCATAACATATGCGGTAATGAAACATTTTCCTTCCCAACATGTGACTGTGTCTTCTCTCTGCCAATTCACAGTGCAAGATTTGCTAATTGAGAAAAATGAAATATAGCTTCTGTAAAAAAAAAAAAAAAAACATTATTCAAAAGGAACTATTCTATTTACTGATGTTTTAAACAAAGTATTGTAAGATCAAATCAGGAATTTTAAACTCTACAATAAATTAGCTTTCATAGAGAGAAAATAGTTTAAATATGTTTGGTCATTATCAGTTTACTGGGTCTTTGTGGAGAATAAATTTGGAGTAAAATGTACATTTAAGCTTCTTTTGAAAGCCCTCTGTTTAACTCTTCCAGTTTTTATACACAAAACGTATGTATAACTGGAGCTTGTTTTACACTATGTGCTTGATGATAAGTTGTTTCTCTTGTAAAGTACTATTTTTCTGTCACTGTGGCACAAAAGGCTGGTCATTGAAATGTACCCTGCAAGGTTGCTTAGTGATATAGTAACAAAATTCCAAAAACACGTGTTCCTTCTCACTCCGAGAGCAGCACAACCTTATATGAGCCCGTGCTGATTGGAACCTACTGAAGCATTTCTTCCTCAGGATTTCCATTTTAAGGTTAAATTTATTTCCTCTGTTAAAAATCTTGGATTTAAACGTCTTCAAACTTTCTCTCTTCAGAAATATGTGAACATTAATCAACCCTTTAGTAATATGGTTTCCTAAAAGTATTTGCTATTCCCATTTTTTGTTCTTCTTTGATTCCTATGATAATTGCCTTGGAAAGTCAAATTCCAACAGCAGCATATCTACAAAGCATGCTCACCAAGAGGCAACACGACACATTGTAAGGTGAAAAAAAGTTTTATTAAATACCAGTAATTTAACATCCTTGACATGAAATAACTAATTTATTTGTCCCAGTTACTACCTTACCTTTTGACATAATTTTTTTTCATTTATTGCATAATTTGCTTAGGTTTGTGGTGTTTTTTTCTTAAGAAAATAGACATATCCTTAGAAAGGCCCCCATCGGCACTGACTACTGAGAACTTAAACAGAACCAATGAATATTGATTTTTCTCATGCCCACTCCTGGACTGGCATGACAAATTATCTTATTATCTTCCACATTGTTAATTTTAAGAGAACTTCAAGTATTGCATTTTTTAATGGTTAATAAAATTTATTTCAAGGAAAAAGAGGGGAAAAGTAGAGTCTAGAATTTACATTTACCAATCTCAGTTCCAGCACATGGCTTCAACCATTAGAGGATACAAACATGGATAGACAGAAGGATAATTCAATTCAAATTTCAGATTCCACATCCACTTTGTTGGAGATTATCACATTTCTAGTTACTGTTTTAAATTTTTTAATTATTTTATTTAAAGCATTATTTTGCAGCAGTCTATAAGAAGACTCAGGAACTGGAGCCATGTTCTCTTCCCTTCAACTACTGAATTGGTAGTTGTATGGGCGGCTGTGCTGGGTATTTAAATGCAGGCATGGTGAGGTTAAGACAAACAGAGAAAGAAAGAAACCAATACAATTTTGAACTTGGTTTATAAAAACCTGGGATCAAGTCTTGGATGCTCCTTTTGGTTTAACTGTCTTAACTTCACCCGACTTCAGGCATTTATAGGAAGAGGTACCCCATTGGATACTTGTAGCTATCCTAATATTCGCTATATAAGGTTATAGGAGAGAAAAATAGTATCTTTTCCTCACCTATTGCAAGGCTCATGGCTGACATTCCTATAAGAAAAGGCATATTACCAAGAAAAGAGCATAACAAATGTATTTAACCAAAGTTTTATGTAACATGTGAGTCCTCAGAAAGGTAAGACCCAAAGACCCAGAAATAGTTGTGTATTTTTATGGACAGTCATGCAGAAGCACAATTGCAGGACACAAGGGAATGATCTAATGGTAATAAGCTGGGGGCAACTTAGCAAAGCTTATTAGTTCAGATGCTTCTTGGTGTCCTTATGTGTCATTTTTCCCTCCAGGTGTAGGGCAGGACACTTGTCACATGAGGGTCTTCCTGGGAGAAAGGAGAGAGAAGGTCAAAGAGTGACCTACCTGCTTCCACTATTTTCTCAGTTTCCAAGGTGCCATATTTTGGGGTGTCATGTTCTGAGCCCCAACAAGGCCTATAGCCACCTGCCCAGACCTGTCCAAAAATATGATATGTGTGAGTGTATATACTTACTTTTTCATTGATTTGTGAGAGGAAGTAGGAGGCTGTTTGACAATGCTTGAGAGAGGACAGTGGAGATGGAAACACAGGGGAGGTAGTAGGGCAATGGTATTATGGCAGAAGGTGGAAGGACCCTTACAACAAGACATTCGAGTGGCTGGAGAAATTGGGGACCTGGGGGCAAATTGTCATACCACATGGGACAAAGGTATTCCCCTTACTTCAATATAGAACAGCAAGTAGAGAGCAGGAAGGGTGGGCCCCCCAAAAGGCCCCCTGCCATAATGCCTGCAGCCAGGCTCCTCTTTGGACAAAGAGGCCAGATAAGGGGATGATTCCTGAGCACAGGGGAGGTGACTTCTGGATGCTGGGCAAGGGCAGGAAATCCTCCTGACTTGAAGGGGATGATTCCTGAGCACAGGGGAGGTGACTTCTGGATGCTGGGCAAGGGCAGGAAATCCTCCTGACTTGGGAGTAGGAGTGTAAGCATGTTCTTGTTCTTTGAGTTATTTGGAATTGGAACATTGGGTCTTTGTTTCACAGCGTAAAGGCTGAGAGCCCTGCTCTGCAGCCAGCCTGCCGGGTTAAACCTGGGCTCTTCTCCCTCCTAATTATGTCCATCCTAGGAAGTTACCTACACTCTTGGTTTCCTTACAGAACAATAGAAAGAATTATATCTGTTGTGAGTAGAATTCTTACAAGAATAAATGGAATTCATACATTTTAGAAGAGTGCTTGTGCAAACTCCGGTCATAAAAGTAGAGATAGTTTTGGATTTGACTGATCTAGACATAATTTTTCTTAATCCTGCTTGTAATTGAGGCACTTCCATCAGACACAAAATGAAAGAGGAAAGTGTCAAAAATTTAATAAAGATTTTAATTAAACAATATTTCATTAAACATTTTCATTTATTTCATTAAAATTTTCATTAAACAATATTTTAATGAAATAATGTTAAAAAATCAAAATGAATGTAAAAATAATCTATGATGAACAAAATATTACAATTTTAAACAAAGACAAGACTCTATCAGCTTCCTTATTTGGTTGTTTTTCACAGACACCTCTGGCTGAGAAAACTGTTAAATAAGAAATCCATCCTAGGACTGAGTGCGGTGGCTCATGCCTGTAATCCAGCACTTCAGGAGGCCAAGGTGGGAGGATCTCTTGAGCCCAGGAGTTTGAGACCAGCCTGGACAGCATAGGGAGAACCCATCTCTACAAAATAAAATTTAAAAAATTAGCTGGGGGTGGCGACACGCACCTGTGGTCCCAGCTACTCAGGAGGCTGAGGTCGGAGACTCAGTTGAGCCCAGGAGGTTGCGGCTGCAGTGAGCTAATGATTGTCCCCTACACTCCAGCCTGGGTGACAGAGTGAGACTCTGTCTCAAAAAACAACAACCAAAAAAATGAAATGAAAAAAAAAATCGTTCTTGAGCAGATTTTGGGTCTTCTTGCAAAGACTGACTAAAGAGACAAGACATGCCTATGGGTTGCCCTTTTTCAATATATATCTCTAGCCATCTAGCCATTGACAAAATTGTAATTATATAATTATGTGTATGTACACATACATACCTATGTATGTGTACCCACATATATGTATACACACATGCAGTATATATGTATACTGTATATATATATACAGTATATATTCTGTGTATAAAATATATACTGTATATATAAATATACTGTATAAAGTATACAGTATAAAATATATACTGTATATATAAAAATATACTGTGTATAAAAATTACCATAGAATATTGTGATGGGCTCAATTTTAAAAATTTTAAAATACAAATACATTTTGCCAGTTAATACTAATACACTGTAAAAGACTAGAACTACCACAAGAATAGGAAACCAAACACCACATGTTTTCACTCATAAGTGGGAGGTGAACAATGAGAACACATGGACACAGGGAAGGGAACATCACACACACACCAGGGCCTGTAGGGGGATGGGGAGTTAGGGGAGGGATAGCATTACGACAAATACCTAATATAGGTGACAGGTTGATGGGTGCAGCAAACCACCATGGCATGTGTATACCTATGTAACAAAACTGCATGTTCTGCACATGTACCCCCCAGAACTTAAAGTATGATAAAAAATTTTTTTTAAAGACTAGAAAGTCATTCTAAAAAATAAAGTCAACTTACATACATAGTTTTATTCATCCATTCAATGAATATATATTGAATGGGAAATTTTGGCTAGACTCCAGATATGTAAAGAAAGTTTCTGGCTGGGCACGGTGACTCACGCCTGTAATCCTAGCACTTTGGGAGGCTAGGCAGGCGAATCATGGGGTCAGGAGTTTGGGACCAGCCTGGCCAACATAGTGAAACGCCATCTCTACTAAAAACACAAAAAATTAGCAGGGTGTGGTGGCGGGCGCCTGTAATCCTTGCTACTTGGGAGGCTGAGGCAGGAGAATTGCTTGAACCTGGGAGGCGGAGGTTGCAGCAAGTCGAGATCATGCCACTGCACTCCAGCCCAGGTAACAGTGTGAGACTCCGTCTCAAAACAAAAAAAAAAAAAACAAAGAAAGTTTCCATAGCTCTGTCCAGTGATTTTCAATTTTTCCTTCTTATGTGGAGACCTAATATGGCAAACAGACAAAGCAGATAAATTCTGAATTGTTCTCATTGAAATGGAGATGGCAGCCTCTCTTCTCCCCCCACCTCATATTCCCCACCTACAGCCTTGGCCACTGAAGAGACTCTGGACTCTAAGCGTATGAAAAACACTAATTTAATAACTGTGCAATAAATATCTTAAAATGAATAGCAGCATAGTCCTCAAAAGACAGAAAGAAGATACACCTACCGGAGATCTATTTTATAAGACAATATAATGATTTTGAATGTAATTTTTCTATGTACCACAGCCTAATCTACTCTCTTGTTTCACATTGAAACAGGCATCCGCTTATCTCTGAATAATCTCTAATATATGTCAATGACAGTCTCTATTTCCCATGCTACAGCATTCAGAAATTTTGTTTGGTGTCTTTATTTATTTGGGCCCCTATAGACCACTAGGACCTGACACAACAAAGTCATGCAAATAAATCCACTGTCTCCGTATTCATCTGGTGCTCTTTCAGATGAAAATACTATGAAGAAAGAAACAGAGTTCTGGGTTTTTTTTATTGAGCAATTGCTGTTGCATAATTGACAGAAAACGTAAAAATCAAGAATTCCTAAACCTGTCCTTTTGCTCTCTAGGGACAGTAGAGATGTCTATAGAATATTTTTGCCTCTGTGGCGTATTTGAGATGTGAGACACATTAACGATGAGAGGGGTTTTAGGTCAGAATCACTCTGCATCATAGATGCCATTATCTGCTGATTTAGCTGGGCTGAAAACTGCTGAAAAATAATCCTTTTTGTGCCCTTGTCAGTGGCTTTAGCCTAGAGTTATAGAAAATCAGCTCTACCTGAGTCAGATAATCATTACAAAATGAATTTTGTTCCTGACTCAATGGAAGTAATTGGGGAGAAATATTTGATAGGTATGATGAAGATTAACTTAAGTTAAAGCTTTCTAGTACTTAAAAAGTAGTAAGTGCTGCTCATAATTGAGCCAATATAGGCATCTGCAAATTATCCTTCAAACTGAATGTAGGTGATCACTTAAAACATTTCTACCCCCGCAAAGCTTGATGTTCTCCTTTTCCTTGGCTCTGGCAAGGGGCACCGGGTTCACCCCGCCGAGGTCTCCCCTTGCAGAGCGCAGAGCTGATTACCCAGCAGGCGGTGCGGCTCCAGCGGGGAAGTCAGAATGGTGCTGACTGTTCCCTGGGGAGGGACATCCTGTAAAAACACCAAGGTTGAGAACTGTCATATTCACAGCAGTAGGTGCATTTCCTCAGAAATTAATGGAGCAAGCTGGGCAAAAATGTTTAAGCTACATCTTCCCTAGAGTAAGATGCAAATTCAAAGCTCTTTTGAAGCCCCGGAATGAAAGTTAAAGATAAGACATTTTAGGGGTTTTTTTTTTTTTTTTTTGACATTGATAATATAGGCAACCCTAGCACCAGGAATATTAAATTGAAATGCTAGATATGTGGGAGAGGTGTGATTCAGGCTGGCTCCGAATGCAGCAACAACTCATTCTTGAGCCTGTTTACCCATGCGGCTTTTAATATATGATTACTGGGACGTGAGGGCAGGTTCCTCCCACCAGTCAGTTATGGACGTGCAATCCTATCAATTTATGACTGATTTATTTATAGGGTGTGATAAATATTTTCAATGAGCGGCTTTGACCCTGAAAGTAGCATCTGGTAGGAAAGTAGTAGCAGCTTTGGAAATTCTCTCTTTAGTGTTCTGCAGGGTGAAAGGGGTGAAAACAGCATTAATTTTCCCTGCACAGCATGCAATAATCTTAAATTATACATCCCATTCAAGAGAGGTAAGAGAGAATTATGTGCTAAGCTTAAAAGAATGCACAGCCCGTTTTGGAGAACTATTTGTTACACTTTCTTAAAGAATGTGCTCATAAATACGTTTCCAATGAGCTGGTGATGGCCATAGTCAAGGTTTCTGAGACTTCAAAATTACCTCTTCCATCCACATAAAGGAGAGGAAAAACCTAATACAGAAGCCCTTTCTACCTTGGAAGTTTGTGCAGAAGGACAGTCTCTGGATGGGATTTGGCACTCATCTCTCCAAATGAGATGCAGCAATCCTAATAGCTCATGTAACACACATGCTTTCCACACCTGTGTTATCACATTGAGCTGAAAAGCTACAGAGGTTCCAGCATTATTTGTCTCATTTTATCAAGAAGAAAATTGTGCTCTTAGAGGTTAGGTAATTTGCTCAAGAGAAGAAAGGAAAACCCAATTCATTCATTCATTCATTCATTCATTCATTCATTCATTCATCTATTTAAACACTTATTGAAAGAATATTTATCAAGTTCTACTCAGCGCCAGTTACATTTTCCCTTCCACCACCGGCTAGTTCTGTGGCTCAGCAAATCCCCGAAATGCTCCTATGATCTAGTGATTTCAAATAAGAACTTGAGATGAGAAGAAGGCCTGAAAAGTGGGGACTTGAATAAGTGATCTCTTATTTGAGATCTCTTCTAGCTGTAATTTTCATACTTGCATTAAAATTGTTGACAGTTCCCTCTTCCAATTTACTTACTGCCATATATACTCAGAGGATACAGTTTCTCACTTTTGTTTATTTTGCAGCTGAAAGTTCAGGAGGAATCAAAATTGAATTAGAATAAACTTTCTTGGATTTTTTTCCTAATAAAATATTTGGGATATTTTATTAGAAATATGTAAAGGTTTGAATACCCACAACTCTTACATGTCTACCTAAATGATTTTTCCCACTGCCAAATATTCGAGGTCACCCAATATATGACCTGACTGTTGCTTTCAGATGGTGCATTTTTTAAAAAAATAATTGTTTTATATACGTAAAATATTTTAATCAGGGCTTGAAATCCTCAGTCACCAAATTGCTGCCAGCAACAACAACGAAAAATTGGGATCCAACTAATTGGAAAGCATTAGAGCCTGAGTATTTGGGTGTGATTCATTGTCACTGATGATGCTTCCAATTACTCATACATATTTATACATTCTGAATCACGTGAATACTTAAAGGAGAAAAACAGGAGTCTACAATTTTGGTGTTATATTTTTGAGTGTGCAGTAAGAGATTTTTAAATGGCCTTACCCTCCCCCTGTCCTTCACAGAAAGACAGGGTAGCCTATTTAAATCATTAACGATGGAAAAATGTTTGCAGCTTGCTTGTGTACATGAGAAATGAATTGGATTATATGAAAAGTTGTCTCCAAACATTCCATAAAAATTATAACCATATCAATTAAATGCTAGTGGCAAATATTTCAATTATCCTTAATGGGACAGAGCTTATAAATGAGCAGATTGGGAGACTACTTGTACTTTATGTGTAGACATTCTCTTCAAAAAGCCACAATTACAGTTTTGCTCATGAAAAATCAGTCCATAAAATGCAAATGTGCTACAAGCTTGGAGTTTATTTTAATGTAACATTATCATACGGTATTATAATAACCTTACTAGTACCTTTTGAAAAAGCTATAAAAACCAGATTTAAAGACATACATTAGTATAGTCTTTCATTAAAATGGCATCTTTAAGTGAACTCAGAATTTCTTTGGTAATGTTGCTGCTACTCCTTGCTGCCTAAGACACCTAGGAACTCGATCACGCTCCTACTGCTGCAACATGCCGTGTTGGCCAACAACAGGGATCACCATGAAAGCCCTGAACGTCCGTGCTGTCTGCTCACATTTGCAAGCTTCAGGTTGTAACCGCTTTTGATTTCAACCTTTGCTTTTGAAAATACACCGGCCATTTTCAATCCTTCATTTTCCTTGAAGACAGATCTTCAAGGAATTTATTAATTCTTTCAGTAAAAGAACACTTTCTCTTCAGCATACTTTCTTTAAGTATATCAAGAGATTTAAATTTAGATATCTGAAAACTCCCGCTAGATGACACATTATTAAAACATCTGCCTTTCCATAAGCCATTCTGTTCCTTGCCATTCCACATGTCCTTTTCTACTTCACCAGACAAAATTGCCCAATCTAAATTTCAGCTCAAGTGTTTGATGGTTTTCACGCTGAGCTCAAACTGTTAATGCTTCCCTGAGAGAATAGAATTGAAACGGGATTTAATCTAAAATAACAAAATAGAATAAGGGTTTTACATATAAATAAGTAATGCTTTGCACATTCTTATGCAAGTTTTTCTCTTCTAGATTTTGCACCTAGTAGAGAGAAATGACACATCACAAACATTCAGAATTTGACTCAGTAGTGAAGAACATTCTAATAGATAAATACTTGGTGTTGTTTGCCATCCAATTAATGCACTTTGCTAAAGTCAAATTTTAAATGATTGAGGAAAATATTCCCAATTTTAGCATTTAATTTAATATGGTTATTTTAAACAGTGATATTTGCAAATATCATGTTAGGTAACCATTATGAACATCTTGAAAAATGCTAATTGGAATAGTAGATAGTACCCTCCTTGGTATACATGTCACAAAAGGCAGAGACTGACAACTAAGCATTCTCTTGTAGAACCCGGATGCTTCAATTGCCTACGCATCACAAAGCAAGTAACTAATTACCTATACATAGCATGGCTGTGAAAACTAGGAGAAGGATTTTGGAGAGAAACCCTGTGGTCTTTGCCAGAGGACTTAAAAAACCTTTATTTTAATAAAGTTAAAATCACTTTATTAAAATCATTTAAGTCATACTGGACCTATCTGTCCAGCCCTCCTGTCTTCCTTTCTCTTGGAAAAATGGTCCTGTACTTTATTCTACTGTCATAAATATGGCCTCTTTCAGACAAAATTTTAAAAAACACACACAGAGGAATTATAGCTTTATATCAAAAAAATTAATAGGACTCATTTTAACATAAAATCATGATTTGTCCTACCTTGTTGATACTGAAAAGATAAACATCTTTTGAACTGTTCTCCATGTATGTATATATTTTTCTTTTTATAAAAAGATTGAAATGTAAAATAAAATTACATTCGAAGATGTCAGTTCAGTTCCTTCAGCTATCATGTGAGAATAATTAAAATAGCTCTAACTCACTTCACTGGATAGATGTGAGGCTTAATGGGTGAGAGAATATTTGCAAAGTGCTTTGTAAAATTTTCAGTTCTATGCCGCTGTATGTTTTTAAGCTATGACCTAGCAATCACAGTGACCAATAACCACCTAGCAATCACAGTAACCAGTAATGTTAATTTTATTTGTATGATCACAAAGTACAAATCATCATACAAATAAAATTAATTGATAGCTAATTCCAATATTTTTTCAGGATCAGCTGTGAGTTTATGTGCACAGTTGTCTTACACCGAAACCTAGATCAATTCCTATAAACTGAGTTGCTAAGGATCCTACCACATTTATTTAAAATGTTTATTTTTTTCTCTTTTCTGCTTACCATCTATAAAAATAAAGACACATGTTTTATTCATTCAGATTACCACCTGGAAATAGTTGCTCATGCAGAAGGTCACCAAAGTTATGAGAATGAGAGCATAAAGCTTATAATTGTGTCTCAATTTGCAAATAATGGGAAAATGTGTTGTAAAAAACTAAATTTAAGTTACACAAGGTTAAAATCAACCATTAAATTGAAAGACAGATTTAACTTTTACTGACACTTGTTATCAACGTTTGATGTTAACCAAACATACGATTCAGTGTTAATTTTGGTGATATTTTGTGAATGAACTGGTGATATTATTCTAGAATAGACATCCACTATTAATAAGTTGGCTGCATTATTTAGAAGGAATATTTTTTATTTCTTTCTGCCAAAATTAACATATGCATGAAGAAGTCCCCACTTTTTGGTATATGTTTAAAAGTTAAATGAAAGCTTTGTATATATGGAGATATGTAGTTTTATCTCTATCTATATATAGATATGTTTTATAGATATAAAACCACGCATATAGTTTTAAATATATATATCCAGATGAAACTATATATAGCTATATATAGATATAGAGGTATAATATAGATGTATTGATATATATATAATATAGATATATATTAATAGTTACATATATGTTTATTAGAACTGTTCATGTGTGTCATTCACTTATATATGAATGATAAGGTTGAAAGGTCTTGGCAGCATTATTATTCCATGAGTAAAGGGTGAAGGAAATAATTATGTTTCAAAACTGAAAATGAATATGGAGATTTCTCATACAGCGATTGACATTCACCATGAAACGACTAGAATAAAATTGACTTAAAAAATTCTTCATGATAAATCAAAATTAAAAAGTTGAATGAAAGTATACCTACTTGAGGATAACACTTTAAGAATTTTGTAGAGTTTTATAAGAAAAAAACCTATAAAAAACTCTCTTTTCTTTTTTTTTGAAAACTTTATTGCTTTTGCTCAAATATCAGAAGTAATACAATCTACCTGTAACACATTCACAGAATACACAAATGTATTAAATCAAAAGTAAAATTTCCTCCCACTACCATCTCCTCCTCCTCAAAGGTAACATGATGTTTCATGCCGATGCTATCCAGGCTCTGTTTTCTATGAGTATATGGCTTAATGTGACAATATAGAGAGAACTCTTCAAAGATTTTATCATTTCCGTTTGTCTGTTCATATATGAGGGTATTTAAGTAATTCGTAATTTTCCAATTTGGAAACATATTTCAATAAATGTGCTACATAGACTGACAGATGGAAGAGGCACGGCCATTTGCTGTAACCCATTCATATGCTCAACAATCCTAGGAAATAGTTATTAGTATCTCACATTTTACAGTGATGCAACTAAGGCCCAGAGAGGTTAATTAACTAGAGTAAAACCACGTAAACCAGAAAGCTAACAATCTAGCCAGGCTGGCTGTGAAATCCAGTTTCAGTACCTTCTCTCTTCCAGCAGTTTGGCCAGGACCTCAGGTCTATTGCTCACTCTCTGAGGCACTGAGCACCTTTATTCTGTCTACACTTTAGTCTCTTCATGTGCAAAAAAGGAGAGATACGTATTCTATGTGTCTAGCACATAGTAAGTGCTCAATAAAGGTGAATTATCATTATTCTTAGAATTAATTTGACATTTAAATTCATATATTCTTCAAAAATGTCTACAAAACAAATCCTTAGAAACAATGTGGCTAAGTCATTGTATGTTTCAGATTTTGTTCTTTGTTAGTTAATTAGCAAAGCAGTCATCAGAGCTACTTCAATAGAAATGAACATCAGAACAATTAGGAAGTATTGATTGATAATCCATGCTTAAAATCAGATCAACTGCCTTCACATTATAGGAAAAAGTTGTGATGAATATTTTTAAAAAATTGTATTTAATTTTATTTTTTGACTGACATATAATAATTGTATCTATTAATAGGGTATGTAATGATGTTTTGATATATATAATGTAATAGTGATCAGATCAAGGTAATTAGCATAATGATGTGTACTTGAAAAAGAAATGACAACTTCTCCTTTCTACACTTAGGCCGAAAATCAGTCTCACACATTTATTATCCCATTATCACTTAATACATCAACATAAAATTCTGTTGGCCTTAACTTCCACAACCTGTAAATATTTTGCTGTTCCTGCAACCATTGGTTTGACTTTTGTTTCACTGTAATCTACACACTTATTTTGCTCATTTTCATCATTGAAACCATATGGGAAATGAGTAGCGATGGTTCAGAGTTACAAATGCATAGGTGTACAGTGTAGCTACTTTGTGGAGATATGTATGATTCTTCCAAATCATAAATCCCTAACTGTAAGGTATTGATCTGCTTATTTATTAATTTATACTTACTAAGATTTAAAGAGATGCTTTGTTGATGACTGTTTTCCCCTTTCTCCCTCAAAAAAAGGTTCCCTTTCTAAGAGGAAAGATATCCTCACCTCTGCTTTTGGGTCACTTTTGCCTCCGCCAGGTACTTTCTAGAAGGTCCACTGCATATGTTTTGTCTCTGTATTTTACCGACCTTTCGTTTTATATGTCTGCATGATTTACCATTCTTCAATTATACTCCCATCCATTGACTAAAATCTCACAGAAGCAGAAATAAATATAAATGGAAGGAAGACACAGGCCAATCCCAAGCAATCATTCTTCTTGACATACGGTGTTCGGCCGATACCTAGAGTGAGATATGAACATTCCACCTTTTGTGCCACGAAGCAGAGGGTATCCCAGACACAAAAAATAAGTGACACCATTCTTTGGGCATATTAATACCTTCTCAGGCAAAAGCAGAAAAACGTTATTAAAATGTAAAACTACAGCTGTGAGTGGATAATTCTGAGTTCTTCTCTGAAACAAGTGTAAAAAGAATTTGGGGCTTTCTACTGGAAGAACTTAATATCTACTGGCAGATTGAGATTGAACATATATTTCTCCAGTAGTTTCAGACTAAATTGTCCAGAACCTGTACCGTTTTTGCCAGTTAATATTGCTTTTTGGGAACGTGTTTTTTTAATTACTATTTTTACAGCTTAAGACTGCTGTGACACTTCTCTGGTGAGAGGTATAATTTTATCCTTTGTTGTCGCAATTAGTACGTTCACACTATGATGCTAATTGAGCGAACATCATCAGAAAGGAAGGCAGAAAAAAATCGTAGTCATTCTGTGGATTAAATCCGTAGCTTTAATAAAGTGGAACTCTTTCAGACTCATCTGCAAGTCTTAGAAATAATTCTGAGAAAAAGTTTTACCGAAATATACCAAAGAATTGAAAACAAAAGATATGTAATATTCAGAGGGATTTTTTAATGACTGATTTAAAGTTTAATTGTAAGCTCATCGCTTTTCTAATTATAGATCGTATTTCCTTAGATTTTTCTCAGACATGGTTTTACATATATAATTTTGATATTTTATATTTGATTTGGCTTTTCTTCAGCCCAACTTAAAATGCCAGGGTAGGTAAATTAAGAAAGACCATGCAGTGGTATCAATACAAGTCTCAGCCATGTGACTCATCTTATTCTAAAAATCCTTCAGCCTTCCCTTTCAAAAGGCTATGCGGTAATTGTGTGTTACAAGCAGTTCTTTATCAGCAAACTTCTATCTCCAACAGATGATTGGTAGTAAACTTCTTTTCTCTGTAGTCAAAACTTGCCCTGATTCCTTACAGTTTTTTAGTCTATTTTCTATGCATAGAATACATATTTAAAGCAAAATGAAAGGTTCACAAACTTTAAGCTATTTTCAGTTTTACATTGTTTCAATGGCAGGATGAGTGTCTGCACATTTGATTTTTTTTAACTTTAAAACGATCTGACTTGTGCTAAGAACGCGGTTTGGTTTGTATTTCCAGCCCTCGCATGTGTGCCTGCGTGTGTGTATTTTATCCCAGCTAGTTATAACCTGATAACCTGATTTCATACTGTGCTTTAACATAACAATACAGCCATCACACTAAAGCAACACAGTAAGCGGCCACATTAACCATCATTTTGCTTGATCACTCGGGAGAGATTAAATTTATTCATTTTTCCTATAGATAATCAAATATTAAAACATGTTAAAGGAACTCTTGAGCTGTGACATGCTCATTGCCAAAACAATATCCTATATGTGATGTGTGACTCTTCCGGTGAGATATTTGGAGGAATTTTCATCAGATCTTTTTTCTTCTCATTTGCATCTGGTTTATCTAAAGTGAAATTCATTCAATTTTATTGAACTGTAATTCTAGTAATTTACAATATTTACATGCTGCGGTTAGATTGAAATCAGTCCTTAATTCAAATTCAATCTAAATTTACTGCATAGTAATTAGGGCTTTGTAACTGACACTAGAGGCCTATTGATTTAATGAAAAACTTAACCTTACAGTAAGTGTTTAATTAGTTGCTGCAGTAGATTCTGTTCTGTCCTAAATTGTGGACTTTAGAGAATCAGGTACTAATTTAAATTACACAACTATATAAAGATCAGAACTAATTTTTTTTTTACATGTAGCCTAACAGATGAATTAATTTCTTCCTCTTTGAAAAGGATAAGGGAAAGAGGCGGTAATGAAAGTAATTTCCTACCCTGCCTAATTTTATGTAAGGCCGGGCTAGCTATGCTGGAAATGATTACCTACCTCTGTTAAATATTGATATAAAGAGTTATGAAAATTAAAAGTCAATGAGATTTCTTCAAGGATTATTTTGTAAATGGAAAACTGAAACAATACACATATCTACTTAGGGCAGAAAGACTCTTGATCCAGGAAGAAAAATAAAAGATTACCCCAAATAAAACCACAGGTGTTTTTCTTTAGATAATATTAATTGACAGCTGGAAGCGTCCTTGTTTTAACAATTGTATTAATTTTTCTGAGTGAGAATTTAAAACATAAGTGTCAATCATTGACAGTGATTTTAAACGGTAGTCACTGATGGCCTCTATCAAAATAAACGTAAATCAAAACAAATTATTTTAATTTTAGCTAATATTTTTCCTAATTTAAGAATTCAATAAAGCATTAAAATAAGGACACTTTTAAACTGGATTTTAACTTGTCTGTAACCTGTCAGGTCCATAACTCATTGCTCTTAGTACACATTTGTGTTCTCGAAGCTAGAAATAGTAACGTTTCTATATAAAACTAAGAGATTAATGCCAAAGGAAAGAAGATTCCTGCTGACGCATTATTCATCACTTGTCTAATTTATATTAGATGTACTAAAGGTACGGTAGAAGAAGATTTTTTTTAAAAAAAAGAGTATCACTTTGATTTTTCATTTCTTGTGAAAAACAGAATTCTTTGATGGCAAAAAAACAGATTTTCAAAGTGGAAACTTTAAATATTTTAATGTATATTTTCCAATACTAAAGTAACTGTTAAATCATTCTAGGTAGGTAATACGGATAACATCATTAACGTATGAAATTGGCACATAGAAATAAAGAACACAGTTAATTCATTAATGCTGCATTGATGCCTAATATCACAGTTGGTGAACCAAGTATTTCAATGTTGATCAACAGGGAATTAGTTTAAAAATATAAAAGCAATGCCTACTGCATCAGTAAAATAAGATAAAATCTAATTTATACCTCAAAATAATTGGAACACCTGTTTCAAATGAACCAATCCTTACTAAAACAAAAATGTTAAATGCAAAGATTTCTCATTTCAGAGACTTCAATTTTTACCTTAAGCCACTGCGTGAAAAATTTTAAGATGTGAAATTCCTAATAGGAATAAAGACCTTAAGATGCCATTCAAAAACTTGAGAGAAAAAAAAAACCTGCAATATGTGTTTGAGTTTATCTAAGACTTTATTTTGTGAAAACATTTTGCAAAAATATCTTTCTTTTCTTGACAAGACACCAGATTCACACTTCACCACCTTGACAATACACCAAATTCAGACCTCGCTGCCCCAACACACCTCAGCAGGAAAGCAATACACACCAGGTACAGAAGGTTGCAAACCACACACTCTTCTCCTTTAATGCTTGCTCTGATGAAGGGCACACACAGAAGCCATATTGCCCATCTCTCAGAGTGGCCTCCGCTGCCAGCACAGCTGAAATCCGGAGACTTGCCACATTCACATTGTCAGCTTAAATACCCAGTAAGGACTCAAACTGGGAAGAAGACAAAGTACCATAGCATGTTGATGCACTTCTCTGGCCCCACCAATTAGCTGTGAAGAATATGGCTCATTTAAAAGTGTATATGATCATACTGAAGCATAGCTGAAAATTAGATATATAAAAAAGGAGGTCATTAGCTTGCACTTGGCTTATCTTCAGCTAAATGAATCGCAGATAAAATCAAATAGGACAAGTTAGGTCTTTTTAAGCTTTTGAGGCCTTTCTTATGTACTTACATTAGATGGGTCTCTATAAAGAAAGTTTATAGCGGCGCTATTTACAACACCACAGTTGATGTTGTGTTACAGTTTTCATTACCAACCTCTATTTTCAGAGGTGCATAGTCTTAACATAAAAATTCGTTCTAGGTTAAACAGAAAAGCAGTGTGGTAGATTACATCCAGATAATAAACCTAAAGACGATAGCTACACAATTTTCGAAGTATTAGAATTCCAAGATAATGTACAATTACATTGGCATCTGGTACATGTTAATGAATCCTTCTAGGTTAAAAATATAATCTTCTAATAGAAAGTTATTTGTCTAAAATGTATACTTGAGATATGTTTGTGAGTAAAAATTTAAATGTGACTCATTATGGATGGAATGTAGCCAAAAATACATAAATAAGATTCATAATTGTTTAAAATCACAATTACAAATTAACTGCAGTTCATAAATGATGCGCATACCATATAAAAGCATGAGGAATATAAACATGTATAATATACAATCTTTGTTCTTAAAACAATTTGTATAGTCAATTAGAGATTGTAAAACATTTTCAACTAGAAGATAGAGGGGGTGTAGCAGAAAGTGTGACGGATCCAACACGCTTGTTTTAGATAGGTTAGTAGATTGGCTGGTGGTTGGTTTTTGTTTGTTTGACTGTTTACTTTTTAGTCTCTAATGCCGGCACGCCTATGAGTAAATCTGACAACCCCACCTGTATTAGTGCGTTTGGGCTGTTGAAACAAAATACCATAGACTGCATGGGTTATAAACAATAGAAATTAACTTCTCACAGTTCTGGAGGCAGGGACGTCAAGATCAGAGTACCAGCAGACTCAGCATCTGGTAAAGGCCCTCTTCCTGGTTAACAGGCAGTATCTTTTTACTGTGTTCTCACATGGTGGAAGGGGCAAGAGGTCTCTAGGCCTTTTTTACGAGGGTAATAATCTCACTCAAGGAGGCTCTGCCCTCATGACCTAATCACCTCCCCAAAGTCACCACCTCCTAATATCATTAATTTGGGGGTTAGAATTTCCCCATATGAATTTGAGGAGAGACACAAACATTCAGATCATAGCAATACCTGAAGCATCTCTGGATATCTGACCTCCCAGAAATTCAGATCTATTGAAGGCACAGGGTCCAGAAAAGCATATCTGGGTGGTCCTGCCGCATTAGATCCAGACCCCTATATGCCCCTGCAGGGTGTGCGGGAAAAAGAAGTATGGCGTCCAGGCTTCAGCAAACACTGCTAGCAGGACCTGCCTCTGGGCAACAATATAGATGTTAAAAAAAATTCCCACTCTGAGAGCTGGGCTTCCAAAACTCTAGAGGTAATAATGACTCCTGAAAGTCATGAAAAATGTCTAGTTCCAACCAAATGAGACCTGAATTGCATATTGGGCTGGGTCTCCAAGTCATGGTGGATTATTTCAGAGATTCTAGAGGGAAGGTTGTAGAACAAACCTGGGCTTTGCAGTCAGGCAGCCAGTTGGATTCTTCTTGGCTTTGTACTGAGCCTCTACTTAACTTCTCTGAGATCTGTTTCCCTGAAATGGAATAAAAGATACTCACCTTGCATGTTGATTTCAAGGACTGAATGATATTTTTCTATACACGTCATACACTATGTGTCCATAAATATACTATGCATTCTATAGGTGGAAGAGATGGTGATTTTCATTGCTTCATCAGTACAATTGGTGAGAAGTCGGGGTTTGGCAGCAAGTCTTTCTGCTTTCTGTGGTCATCTCCAAGCCTTTCTTATCTCTGACCCTCCTGATTTCTCATCTCTGTGGGGATTTGAAACAAACCACAGGGTGAACATCACCTCTTTCTCTGGAAAGATTCGTTTTTTGGTTCAGCAATCAGCAGTACTTATAATTTGATTTTGAATTGGGAAAAAAACTGTAGGAAATGTAGTCAATTTTACCATGATTTGGGCCAATTTCCAGAACTTTTGGTAAACAAGTTGTCTTTTAGCCACCTATGTGGCCACTTAAAAAAACTGCATATTTTGACCATCTTAAATAATAGAATAGATTAAACTGGATTTTATGCAAATTTCTCGGTAAGTCGGCTTGACCATCAGTTTGGTTTTTTATACATAGTCTTATATAGATATAGATTATAACAAATAGAAACCCATTGCAAGATTCAGAGTTCTTATCTGGCAGGTTGAATGCACACAGCAGAGAGTGTCTGAGCCACCAAATAATACCGCTTGTTAAATTTTTCAAAATGAAATCTTTGCCAAAGTAATGGTATTTGCCTCGTCACGAACCTGGCTGAGCTGCTTCTCTCACATCTGCCTATACTGGGCAGAAATCAACCAGCAGCAAAATCTTCTTGCCATGGCTGCCTTGATCAGCCTCAAGGTCCTCTGAGCCTTGCAATAATATCCTCTCAAGAATGCTGACAGACTCAGTGGCAAGTGACCAGAGGGGACTTCCCTGGAAATTGGCAGGGTGCTGAGAAAACCATTCATTCATCTGTAGGCAATGGCACTGCAATTCTGTAAATGCCCAGTGTTTCTTCCCAAGGCAGCCTCTGGCCTGAAAACCTCAACCTCTTTCTGCTCCATGAACAATATTGAGTTTTAGGACTTCACTGTCTCTAAAAGAATCATACTTGTATCACTTCCAATTTCCTTTCATGAGACAAAGCTCTCCTTGGCAATGGCTATCAGAAAGCCCTAGAATAAGCTACTTAACTTCAAAAATAGAGAAACCAGATTGGACTTTTAAAAGTACGATTGTATGTGCACATAGGTGTGTGTGTGTGTGCATGGGTGTGCAATAGTTAAATTCAAATAAGGCTGAGACTAAACAATTTAAATTATAATCAATGCGGGTTCTTTACTTTCAGTAATTTATTTATAGCCATATTCCTAGTTCAGGAACATTAACATTTGATCTGAGCTCTGTTTGAATCATCTGGAAGTCTCACTGTTTATTTTAAGAAGTTGTACAAAATATTTGACTACACACTATACCCTATTTCGTATAATAGGAAAAACAATCTAATAACAGATATATGTGTACATGCATGTGTGTGTATAAAATTAGAAATTCCATATATAGAAAGCTAGAATCTTTTAAGGTTCTTTAAATAACTAATTTCACTTTTTTAAAATCCAGGTTTTAAACTTTATAATAAAGTAAAGCTCATGGAAAATTGTATTTTCAGCCCAACATAGCTTGCAATTTAGTAATTATGGTTCATTTATAAATTATCCATCAGGATATATTTTTAATTTAGTAATGACATTTGTAATATTTCCAGATCATTTGGTTTTAGAATAGGTTAAATAAAATTCATTTTAATTTTGCAGTGTATATTGTAGTATGCTTGCACAGAATTAAGATTATATTTTATCTTCTGGAAATATGACCTATTTTAGTTAAAGTTCTTCAGTTTTTTGTTATTTTAAATACATATTAGTTGTACCTATTTGTAGGGCACATGTGATATCTTAAATCGAAGTGTAATAATCAAATCAGGGTAATGGGGTATCTATCACCTCAAGCATTTGTTATTTCTTTCTGTTAGGAACATTCTAATTTCACTCTTTTCGTTATTTTGAAATATATAACACATTATTAACTATACGCACCCTATTGTGCAACTGAACATAACCTATTTTTTGTTTGCAGTTTCATGAGGGAATATTTTTAATGTCTACCTAGAGATGGCTCAGTATCACCAGATGGTATCTTGCCATCCACAGGTTCCACTTTGCCTGTTTTGCAAGTTTGTGACAGCCCACGGGGATGTGCTGAGGCATCCATCCAGTCAATAACGTATCTGGGACAACGCTAATACTGCAAACATCTTTATGAGTTTAAACAGTATCTGTTTTTTTTCTACTCCAACAAAATCAGTTAATACAATAAAGCATGGCATTCCATTCAGAAACAATGCACCGGACTAATTGCCCTAATCCCGAGCAAGAGGACAGAACTAGTGGTAGTCATTTTTATGGAGTTTTCAAAAAGAGCTACAGAAACTCTTCCTCATTTTATGCTGATATTCGTCATGAGTACAGAAAATCATTTCAGTAAAAACACCCTGCATATTGGTAAGAATTATAATAATGTCAGTGCTTATAATTGTTATCAGTAATAACTTACATTATTCCTACCAGTCATGTTATTTTTTAAAATGAGAATCTATAATGTGATGTGTGCTGTGCAGAACTTTTACCCTTTGATGAGTCTCTAGAGTCTTGTGCTATGGAGCAAATAATTTTCCATCTGTCTTCAGATTTTTCAAGTATCATGCTCTCTGGTGATTTGAAATTTTCTAAGCATTTCCCCTCTACCCTCCAAAACAAGCGTAATTTTGCATTTTGTATTTTAAAAAATGTGTCATGCAATGTATTTTAAAATTAAAATCATTTTGTAATATCTTGCAAACTAATTTTGACTCTGTTTGTAAGTTTTAAAAAATACCTTCTGAGACTTCGTGATTTACGAATGCCTAAAAAAAATCTATGGTCTACCTGAAAAAAAAAGCTTTCTAAATTTTAATAAGTGTGGCACTTATTTACTGACTTTATTAAGACAGAATGGGAGTGGTAAATGCTATATTAAACAGGAAAGATTATAGTAAAATTAAAGTTTACAATTTTTCTTGGTTGGTTTTAGGCTTCTTTTTTTGTAAATATAAGTAAAAGCTGTATTCACTATGAAAAAAATGAAGTCATAATTCATCTTCACACTGCAAGATATAAATATAGAAGCACTTTTGAGAAAGTAAATGTGTATGTTGATTATTCAAAATAAAATGGAATTTTGCTTTATATATACATATATTTTCTCATTTTCTCTGCTTCTCTTACCCCAAATGTTAGAAAAAAATCTAAGACCAGATAATTAGAAATGGGTTATTCCTCATATTTCTCAACTATATTGTATATAAATATTTAAAATTATGCAAAGACAGAGTAAGGAACAGGTAGTATTTCCCATATGTGAGATATATACTTTAGGATTTCTTTTAAAGATATAGATACAGAAATAGTCATGCCAATTAATCACTTTTGAATGATGTTGAAAAGTAGGTTAAGTAATGATTTTCTTGAAATTCATTGTTGAAAGTTTGCAGAGATGAGTGCTATTAAAATACATTATTCTATGTATGATTTTGCTTTTAAACCAGAAAAGTGGACATTAATTTGTAGTTTTCTACCTTAGTAATTTATCTACTTATGTAAATCACCTCGCTTAATGTATTCTGACAGTTGGCCTTAACAAGGAAAAAGTGAATACCACTTCCTTAACTTATTATAAAAAGCTTTAAAAATTAAAACTCATATGATAATGTTACTTTCATCAATTCTCCTATTCTAGTGAATGGCGTTTTGGAAGCAAATCTATATTTGGCCAAATTAACTTAAGCCGCCGTTTCTTCTTAGTAGTAGTAGGTAAACTTTTTTGTCATTTTATTAGCATTTACTATTATGCAAACATAGTGTTGCTGTGCTCCTATAATGTTTAGACAGTCATCAATAATATTCTTTGGATGCTTGAACCAATAGGTTTGTGCATTTATGCACGTGAGAAGGTCTATGCCACAATTCTTGAAAAAGACCTCTTTAATTTGAAAATCTTTTTCAGGTGTGATAAAATTAAGCTTGTACACATTTTGAGAAAAAGCTCAATACTGCTTCTCTTTTTCACAAAATACCACATATTTTAGCCAGTCTCAAAAGAACAGTCTGTAGAAATTCAGTTCATCTCTTTTTAACCAAGAGGCATTGTAAGTATGAAGCAATAAATGCAGATAGTATTGACAGTACAGAAACATAAATGAAATATATTAATTATTTCAGTAATAAGCATTTTGTAAGTACAGAATGAAATTAGAAAGAATGCACTTAGCAGTCTAGTTCTGGCAAGTTTGTTGTTCTGTTTTCCATTAACATAACGGTGCTTCTTTTAAAATATTAGTAAACATCCTTGGCTGGCTGTGATAAAAATTATGATTTCCATCGTGAATATTTTCGGTTTTATTTACACAATTAGACGTAGATTCTATCATTGTTCTACAGATTTTTTTTATCCCAGCTAAACTGTGTTGCAAAATACAACAGGCAAACAAGTTTCGGTGTTATCACAGGCCAGTCACTCCATCTTTCTCAACTCACTCTTCCCATCTGTAATATGAGAGAGTTAGATTAGATAAACTTTAGTTCTCTTGAAATTATACATTTTCATGTATATCTATTTAATGTTACTTTCTCTGGTCATATATCAAGATAACCTCTTTTTAATTCTATGTATGCCAATAAATATATTGGCCATAGTAAATAAGAAGTTTTCTCTATATACCATTTGATTAGTTCCAAGTTTTCCCAAAACTTCAAATAGAAGCAGTGATAAGTATGAACCAGACCATTGTGAGAAAAAAAAAAAATTTGGAATGAAGAATAAGCACCAGGGAGGTTTTGGCACCAGGGAGATTTTGGTCTAAAGGTGTGCAGGGATTATCTTCCCTAGATAAGAACTCATGCATCAAAACAGCCTAGATGAGGCCAGACACTGTGGCTCATGCCTTTAATCTCAATATTTTGGGAGGCTAAGGCAGGTGGATCACTTGAACCCAGGAGTTCAAAGTTACAGTGAGCTAGGATCATGTCACTGCACTTCAGCCTGGGCAACAGGGCAAGAACCAGTCTCTAAAAAAAAAAAAAAAAAAAATTCTAGATGAAGTCTGCAAATGTAAGCATGCCAAAAGATTAAGGTAACACAAAAATGATAGAATTAATTTTCTTTTTGACAAATAAGATTTTGAAGTCTCTGGAGAGGAGTGGTTTAAGGTTATAGAGGTACGACCAGGCGTGGTGGCTCAAACCTGTAATCCCAGCACTTTGAGAGGCCGAGGCAGGTGGATCACCTGAGGTCAGTTCGAGACCAGCCTGACCAACATGGTGAAACCCCGTCTCTAGTAAAAAACAAACAATAACAACAAAAACACAAAATTAGCCGGGCATGGTGGTGCATGCCTGTAACCTCAGCTACTTGGGAGGCTGAGGCAGGAGGCACAGGAGCCAAGAGGCGCAGGATACAGTGAGCCGAAATCACACTATTGCACTCCAGCCTGGGCAACAGGAGCAAAACTCCATCTCAAAAAGTAATAAAATAAAATAAAGTTATAGAGATAAGTTGTATTTGATCTATTTCACCCTAAAGCTTTGACATTCGCCTACGTACCAATGATCCCAAATTAACGTGCCTATTCAAGATCTTTCTGCAGAGCTCCCTCCATACCTCTATTTACCATAACAACAATAAGAACAACCACCGCAATAATAATATCAAATACTTATAGAGGACTCACTAGGCAGTATCATATAGGGCTAGGCAGTAATCAAGGAAATTTATGCATGTTAACTCATTTAATCCTCACAGCAGCCCTGTGAGGTGCATATGTTTCTTTTATCTCTTTTATAAGTGAGGATACTGAGGCACAGAGCCATTAAGTAACTTGTCAAGGGTTATACACCTAATAAGTGGTGAACTCAAGATTTGAACCAAGCAGTCTGGTTCTATAATATTTGCTACTAATGACTTATATTCTCCATCAGTGGTCCATGAATTTTGTTCACTTAACTGTTATATACACCAACTAAAATGTCAACAGCTGAAAACTCAAATCTGCCAAAGTCCGTTGGCTTCTTTTTTTGAGACAGAGTTTTGCTCTTGTTGCCCAGGCTGGAGTGCAATGGCGCAATCTTAGCTCACTGCAACCTCCGCCTCCCGGGTTCAAGTGATTCTCCTGCCTCAGCCTCCCAAGTAGCTGGGATTACAGGTGTCCGCCACCACGCCCAGCTAATTTTTTGTATTTTTAATAGAGATGGGGTTTCACTATGTTGGCCAGGCTGGTCTCAAACTCCTGACCTCAGGCGATCCACCCGCCTCAGCCTCCCAAAGTGCTGGGATTACAGGCATGAGCCACCGCACCCGGCTCAGCTTCTCTTTTTCTTATTGCCCCTACTATCTGTCATGTTCAGTGGTCTTACACGTAAAATGTTTACCTCCCTTTTCCTTATCCTTCAATCTAATCAAATTATGAAGTTCTTCATAATTTCCCTTCTGAACCAATAAAATAAGACTTCCAGTTTGTCACCGTATAGCCACTCATTTTCTTCCAAAGTGCTTCCCATATTCATCTTTGGTGTCATCTTTATAAATCCTCATGTTAATTTCCCCAATTAAAATTCATTAATAGGTCCCCTTCATCTTCAAGATGTCGTGAATACTTCATCGGAAACTTCTGCTTGCCACTTCCGTGCCATCTTTCCAAATTATTCCCCAATTCCCACCTACTTCATCTTGTTCGGAGAAGTTATCTCTTATTTTTTCTTGCATGTTCAACTCCAATACTATACCCATATTTATCCATCATTCAAAATGACTTACTGAGAATTTATTAAGTTTCAGGCATTGAATTAAAGATAATCAGTAAGGAAAATCAATATAGACATAGATATTTTCTTCCTTGAGTTTATAGTTTAGTTAATTATCAAGACAAACAGGTTCTTAGTGAGTAGGAACTACACAGTGGAAGAACCACTTTCCTTCAATGCAGATTAAGGGGGAGAAATGGAAAATTCCAGGAGTAAGTTAAGTCTGGGCTACAAACTAAAGGAGTCATAGGAGTTAGCGAAGGAGTTGGGAAATCAGCACCTCAGGCATCAGGGACAATGCCTACAACGTTCTGGAGGGTTTTAATATTTCAGAGAACTTTGCCTGTATGCAGAAATGAAGTCCCTCTAGAAAACTTCTAAGCATTCTCCTCTTCTGTGACCAGTGAGATTCCCAAACAGCCCTTATTTCTCTCCATTATGAAAAAGGATGACTATATAGAGTAATTGCTTTCTTCCTCACTAGACCTAAAGCTCCTTAGGACAGGTCTTTTGCAAACATTTAGTATACACGAGAGAGAGAGAGAGAGAGAGAGAGACATTCATTTTAAAAGACATTGAAATATCAGCAATGGTGTATGACGACGACACTTTGCGTGTAAAGTTGATGTTGAATAAAAATAAAATTATAGTCTTAGATTTTGTGTGTATGCCCCTGTGTGCAGGTGAAATGAATCTGTTAGAGGGACTGAGGTCAGCAACAAAGAACAAACTTCTTATAGGAAAATATGGGGATGCATGAGAGAATTTTTTGTTTAAAATATAAATACCCATTATCTAAGGAATCCTAAACTGGCAAAAAGCTAGAAAATGCCCAGCAAAATTCCAGGCACTTTGGAAGGGTAGGAAGAGACAAATTAAAAAAAAAAAAAAAAAAAAGAAACATAAAACTTTGCTCATCCAGTCTACCTGGGGTGCTTACTGTTTACATTTGGAGATAAAATATCCCCCAAATGAACTCAGAGTGGCTACCAGCAAAGTATCAGACACCTGCCAGAGCAAATGACCAGAAAATGACAAGTCACAGATATTGTCCCAGTCATTAACGAGTAGGTATTGAATATACTTTGTGATCACTTAGAGCTGTCACAGAAATGAACGCTGGGCCTCAAGAAATCTGAAGAGGCCCAAGGAAAAAATAACAGAGTAGGAGAAACGAAACTTGAGGAGCAGAAAAAGACTAGTTTGGCAAATGTGGATCTATTTTGCAGACAAAATTAAATCTTTGACAATGTGATATTTGAAAGCTATTCAACACTTATCTTCCCTTTAGTGTTTATAGTGCTTGCACATTTATGATTAAATTTCTTCACTGTTCATCCATGCATTACTTTGATGTTTTATTCTGAACATTCTGTACACATATATCTGTACATTCATAAATGGGCTTCGGAAATCAGTAGCCCACAGACCACATTTAACTAAACATTTACTAAAATATATTTTTGTGATAAAATAAAATTATTTTAACTGTTCCTTATTTACAATGTTTCTTGCCATTAAAATAAAATATTGAGATGTAACTTTTCAATGTATAATTTTAAATGCTCCTTTTTAAAAAAAATCATAGTTTATCTGAATTCAACACATTTCGTTAGCATCGATTTACTATGGCGTGTGTTTGAAGGTACATGCAATATGCACGTGCCAAATGAATTCATTAAGACCAGTGTGATTACGGTGAATGTCAAATGAATTAATAATAATGGGACCTCTAAGTGTTACCATTACTTTCACAGTGTGTTACTGTTTTTATACTTATGAGCCCTGAGGATAAATGACACTCACATATTACCCTTTTATATTAATTGTATCTGGATAATCAAAGGTTGGTCTAGCAACCTTGTGGGCAGTAACATTTTCTAGCTCCCTATACACAGAGAAATCACTATTATAAATTTCATTGAAGACTGATTTCATATTTTAGATTCCAATTATAAAAGGCATTTATATTATGCCTCCTACACACCCACTGAAATGTTACAGCCTGTAGACATATTTTTTCCATGAATGATATTTAGAATAAAGAATTTAAGTAGCTCACGACTTTTTCTAGGCATTTGTATTTTTCGTTCCTTGAGAATAGACAGCATCCCATAGATAGACATATGCACATGTATACATATTTAATCTTCATTCTAATAGACACATACATACAGAGGCACACACATAGACACATATGTTCATTGTTACTCAATTACTTGACCTGGGAATCATTATATTTTTAACAGCAGCTCCCTCATCAGCGAAGTTATAATGAAACTACCTATCCCACACTATTTATGAGCTTTGAAAGACTGTCTACTACCCTATAGAAGATGCATATTTTTTTTCCTTGCTTTTCATTCCTAGTCCAGCCTTTTATTTTTGTTCCAGTGGTAATTGGTTGGAAGTGCAGGTAGGAGGCTTTGGATGGATGAAAAGGAAAATGTTGAAATGAAAGAAAACATAAGTTTGTTGTGGCTGCAACCACGTGTAATCGATAAATCTTATTGTAATGCCTGAATAAAGTGATCATGAGGCCCAGTCCTTCAAATACAGAGGAAGCAAAACAAAAATGGAGGAAGGCTGTTCAAATCGAAAGAAAAAGGAATCAGGAAACTAGAGTACTATTTTGTCCTTTTATCTTGAAACTTCAGTACCTATTGTCCTTTATGCTTCAAGAAATAGCAGATTGATTTGCTTGTTTGTTTTAATGATCAAACTTAATAACCCCGCAAACTACTTCCCCACTTCTTGCTTTCTATTAATTACAGTTTCACATTTGTTGCTAACCAAGAATAAGTTCAATAAATGTTATTTCTATTTCAATGGTAGGTATTCCACTAAAAAGAAAATGGATGAGCTGGAAACACAACATCATTGATAATGGTGTTTTCAAATAGAAAATATTTTGAGTTACACATAGTCAACTCACTGGCTTTCTACTGCAGTACAAGAATTCAAAAACAGGTACTCTCTTTCCTGGTCAAAGTTTCAGTCACGACTTTTAGGGTCATAAATGGCATATTTCTCAAGTTTATAGGTGATATATAACTGTGACAGGCAATTAATTCAGAGGTAGAAGCATCTACATTCAAATAGAGCCACACCAGCTTGAATATAATCTAACAAGAATATAGTCCTCAACCTACAGCCTTACCCCTAAAAAAAGATAACCACATTTCAGAGAGGAGTCAATAAGGCTTGGAGAAACATCTGTGAAAAATACATTTTAGTTGACTATAAATTCAATAATAGTCAAGTGTGTGAAAAAAAAGCTAATTTATTTTTTGACCATATTACCAAAAGCATGGTATCAAAATCAAGGAGGTGAAAATCCCTCAGAACCCTGGTTTGGCAGGTCAGATGTGAAGGACTCCACTCAGTTCTAAACATCCTGTCTCAAGAAGGCATTTACACACTCCCTGCTCCCAGAAAAAAAGGCATGATAAGCTTAAGACGATGGTAAAGGATGCCACATGAGAAGATGCTGAAGAAAATAGAGGTTCTAAATCAGTGGGAAAATTATAGCTGTTGTCAAATACTTAAAGGGCTAACATGTGGAGCGGGGAGACATTTAGTCTGTGTTGCTCCAGCGTTTAGAGTCACGTCTAATAGGATGCAGTTACAGAACCACACCTCATACAGATATGGCTCACTGTAAGGACCAGTAGTATCATTAGGGCTGGAAATAGAACTGACAATTTCATGAACACGAAAATTCATCACCACTGATAGGATTCAAGCAGATGTTTAAATATCACCCTGTCAGGGGTAAGAAGGCAAGGGGATATCATATAGCATTAACTTTTAAGTATTGATTAGTAAGGCGTTAACTAGGAGAAGGGTTAGATAATAACTTCTATCTTTTTTCTTTTTACTGTGATCCACAGTAAGCAATACATTTTATATTAGATGTATTCACACATAGAAGTCTATAGAATTGAAATACAGTTGTTCAAAAAATAACTCTTAATCACACACATTTTACTCATATATTCCATTCTACTCTGGTTTAACCGAATTCAGTTTTTAATGCTATTTCATCTTGTTGGATTGATTTCAGTTCCCAATAATAGATAATGACCCACAACTTAGCCAACACTGAACAGGATGACCACTTCTAACTCCATGATTCTATTGTTGGATGTCACAGAGGACGAACATCTCCCAGGGTGTGAACCAGATGCTTCCCACGTGACTGACAGTCATAAGCAAATGGACAGCAATATCATGAGTTTCCTCAGACTTCTCTCACATTTTTGATTTCAATTTAAATTTAGAACTATAATATAATAATTTGGAATGCTTTAGTAGGGTACCTATAAACAACCTATTTTCAGTCAATGATAGCATCCAACAATAAAACCTAGCATCTAAAGGGAAGGGTTACAACAGAGATTCTTAGCAACTCCTTGATAATTCCATGCCATCGTTGTTATCTTGAACAAGGAAAATGCAGTATAGTGAGAATATGTGGCTGGCTGACATGAAGGGGCACAGAGGAGGGAGATGATGAGTGACTGTGAGCAACCTATTACTAGAGTGAGGCATGAAAGAAAACTAGAAGGGGAGACTTAAACAGCCACCAAAGAGTGCTGGGAATTTACACACTTTCTTCCAATATTCACAGTGACCCACAAGAAATATCTCAGATGATGGAAAGGAAGCTGGGTGGGGTAAAGGGATGTGCCTGAAGCCATACAATCAGAAATGGATATGATTGCTGTACATTAAGAACTTTAAAAAATAAGTAGACACTCGGGTGTTTCCTGTATGGTCCTCAGTTTTATACTTGGGATAAAAGAGATAAGTGACTTTTCAGACGGGGAAATCTTTCAGGCCGAAGAAAGGTAAACTTTCAGAAGTGGCGCAGTCTAGAAAATTAGACCCATCATACTGCTCCAGCACATCTTCTCAAACCCTTTCTTAATTTGGCATTAGTGATTTTGAATTATGTTTCTTTTAAGAGACTGTTTTTCACTGAAACTTTTGATGAAACAAAATCCACTTTTTTTTTGAGACAGAGTTTCACTCTTGTTGCCCAGGCTGGAGTGCAGTGGTGTGATCTCGGCTCACTGCAACCTACGCCTCTTAGGTTCAAGCGATTCTCCCGTCTCATCCTCCTGAGTAGCTGGGATTACAGGCATGTGTCACCATGCCCGGCTAATTTTTGTATTTTTAGTAGAGAGGGGGTTTCATCATATTGGTCAGGTTGGTCTCAAACTCTTGACCCCAGGAGATCTGCCTGCCCCTGCCTCCCAAAGTGCTGGGATTACAGGTGTGAGCCACCGCACCCGGCCTTATGGAAAAAAAAAAAAAATGTTGCAGCTTTTCTCAGGCAGATAGCCCTGACCGGGGGATCGGGGGTGGGGGAGGCTGGACACAGGGAACAAACAAAAAATATGCTCTTTCAAGTCACTGTGTATTTTGTGGCTATGGATGAAAAGACTGCAAATCTGGAGAGGTTAGTCACCCTGGATCATCAGTCAGATGTTCATACAATTGAGATGCTTACACTATAAATTTCAGTCACTTCCATTTTGTAAATCAAATGTTTATTGTTTATTACTGAAAAATATCAGTAGAAAGGAAATATAAAATTGTCATCCCTCTGGTTTACTTAGTATAATCCACTTTGCGCTCAAAGGTATCATATTCACATGTTTATATCCTCTGTCCCCATTTGTATTTACTTTTATCGATAATACGAGGCAACTACTCTGCTCAGAATGCAGTTTTCTTCTTTCTGCAGAGGTTAGAACTGAATCATTTTGGGTGTCTTCCTAGAAACTGCTTGGTGTTTCTTTTAAGTTCATACAATTCCAGCAGGGCCTGCTCCCTATTCAGTCATTGGGGATAGATTTATATTTTCAGAGAAAAACCTAAATATGCAAGGCTAGCCTGACAACATGGTTACAGGGAACCCCTGCCCCACCTGTCAGTACCCCTAATCTCTTGTTGTGGCTTTTACCTGGGGGCCCAGCCGCTAATGACCGGACAGTCCACCTGCCCATGCCTGGCTTCCCGCCCACCTCATAGAGTCACCAGCTGCCTTTCTGGGCCAATCAAAGAAAAGAAATTACCATGGCAGAAAATGACTTCAGGACTTGGCTAAAAGTGGCAACTTAAGGAGTTGGCACCACGTTTGGACCTTGCTGGTGGTGGCGGGTGGTGGAGAAGGCAGCTGTTTCAGACCTCCAGCTGGATGACTTGAGGACACAGAGGCAGGGAAGATCTGGGAGATGTCCCAGCCTTTTGAAAGTCGATTTTTCTTGCCCTGGCTCCAAGCCCTAAAGGTTCTCTTAATGATAGTGAGGGAATGGATTGGGTTTTTTTCTTTTTTCTTTCCTTTTTTGTTTTTTTTTTTTAAGATGGAGTCTCGCACTGTCGCCTGGGCTGGAGTGCAGTGGTGCGATCTCAGCTCACCGCAACCTCCGCCTCCCGGGTTCAACTGATTCTCCTGCCTCAGCCTCCCAAGTAGTGGGATTACAGGCACCCGCCACCACGTCTGGCTAATTGTTTTGTATTTTTAGTAGAGGCGGGGTTTCACTAGGTTGGCCAGGCTGCTCTCGAATTCCTGGCCTCGTAATCTGCCCGCCTTGACCTCCCAAAGTGCTGAGATTACAGGCGTGAGCCAACACGCCCAGCCAGATTGGTTTTTTTTCTATGCACAGGACCAGTCATGTCCATAAATATCTCCCTAAAATGTTATGAGTTCAAAGGTGAAAACAGGGCAATTGAATTAATTGATTGGACAATCCAGTTCCATCTAATATAAATAAACTGAATTCAATGATTTCAAGTCGGTGCTATAGAGTCTGAGGACATAGATGCCATAACCCATGCAGGCTCAGCTACAGGGCGAGCCGGGACATAAGTCAGGAGGGAAAGAAACCAGGGTGAAGGGCAGGTGCAGCTGGAGGTCCAGCCCAGGACACTCACAAGCATTCGGATTAACAGTGCCTGTTTCTGGCCCACATCAATACCTAGTAGAACCCAAGAAGGTGGGATTTCCAGGCATCATTGCCTTCTGGAGTCAAGGAGTGACTGTATTAATGTTCTGGGAAATTCAGTCAGTTTGAAGCAAAACCTTATTTAGAAGGTGAAGCACAGGAGATTTTAGGCAACGAAACTCTTCTATGTGATACTATAATGGCAGAGACAGGCCATTATATATTGGTCAAAGCCCACAGAATGTACAACACCAAGAGTGAACCCAATGTAAACTATGGACACCGGATGATAGTGATTGTTAATGTTGGTTCATCCATTGTAGCACATGGGCCAACATCTGCTACAAGATGCTGATGGCTGGGGATGCTGTGGGTGGTGGAGAGGGGTGCATGGGAGCTCTCTGTGGAATGAGGACAGAAAGCTGTGTGAGCCACAAACAGGGCTCTCTTCTTAATGGGAGGGTCTGGAGTAAAATGAGAAAATCAGGCTTAGGGAAACAGGTATTCAGGTTTCCTAAATTTCCTTGTGGGAACCTGAGAACAGAACTAGTGGGAATTCTCCCTAATGGCATCCTGTATTTGTGGGTGGAGATGATATGTCTCATGTCCTGGAAGACAGTCTTTCCATTGGCCAGAACTAGCACGGTGTGGTTCTAACCTGCTTGGTGGTGGAGACTGGGTTTCATTTATTGCTATGGGCCTGGCTTCCAGTACTTACCTGACCCATAGGGAAAGAGGGAAGAAGGAGTGTAGCTAAGCCAGTCCCTGCTGGGGAGCAGTTAGCATTTGCCTACCGGAAGCTCAGTTCCTACAGAAACCCTCCTCAGGCCAGCGTCAGGTAGGTGGCCTCACAGGTGTGCTGCCGACAATAAAGGGTCGCTGGGAGCAAGCAGAGCAAGAGTGAACAAACAGCCTCAAGAGGGAGTTTTTTGGCATTCGTCATAATTTTCAGCAAAAGCACATCCCACTGGGTTATCAGACTGCAGACCACTCGCTGGCCGTGACCATTTACAGCTTCCCTTCTCTGGCCTTTGTTTCTTCTTAAAAATGGGAAGACACTTTGGAAACTCTAACATAAATGTAAAATATGATCATTCAGCTGGACATGCAGTGCCTCACATCTATAATTCCAGCACCCTGGGAGACCGAGGTGGGAGGTCCCACCTTGAGGCCGGGAGTTTGAGACCAGTCTGGGCAACATAGCAAGACCCCCATCTCTACAAAAAAATTAAAAAATAGCTGGGCATGCTGGCCTGATCCTGTGATCCCATCTACTCAGGAGGCTGAGGTGGAAGGATTGCTTGAGCCCAGGAGTTCAAGGTTACAGTGAGATGTGATTGCACCACTGCACTCCAGCCTAGGCAACACAGTGAGACTCTGTCTCTAAAAAGTTAAATTAAATTAAATATGATCATTTATACAGTGACATATAGTTTGTAGCTATAAAATTTTCTTCTGCTTTCCCCCATTTTTATTTGTAGATTGCAAAACCAAATGGTGAGATGTAACCTCAGACAGTGATCTGCAAAGATTAAAGGGGTCAGATATTATCTTGAAAGCAAGTTATGTGGGAAGTTTGCATCATGTATCGGGGAACTTTTCCCATTTCCATAAACTATTCTGACCCAAAGGGAGGGTGGAGTTCCCTCAGGCAGAGGATGGGGAGCGTCTGGTGTTGGGACTCCCTAGTTCTCTACCTGCTTTTAACTAATACCCAGGAAACTTTCTCTGCTCAAAGTTAGTTTCCGCCAAATTATCTGTCTATATGAGTGGGGACAGAAGCTCTTCTCATGCCAGTGGTTCTCAGCCAAGAGCTTGGCATTTAAAGCCTTTCTTCCCTTCCTTTCTGACCACAGTAGCTGCATTCGCTGCACAGTTCCTGCTCCGCTCGGAAGGAGGCTGTCAGGCTCCTTAGAAACCACCCCTTCCATGGCTGGAAGTGTCTCCAAGCAGTGTAGTATGCTGTTTATTTCTTATTTGTTCCTAAGTGACAGCAGCATTTCCACTTTTCCTGCTGGTTAATCCAAGGTTTTAGTGACAAAACAGGCTCCACTTGAGCACTGTGCCTTAATCATCCTTTAGTTACCTGGTTTACACTGGAGCCGCACTTGAGCAGGGGGCTGGGAGTTGTTAGCCAGGCATTTTCTCGCTTTGTCCTTGTGGCCCTCATGGTCAAGTGCAGGGAAACTGGAGCAGCCATTCTGAATAGAAGCAGCCCCCTGGCTTGGAAACAGCCAACTTCCAGATGGCCCACAACTGACCTGCCGCTGCTCCCGACTGTGGAATGAGCCTCCGCGTAAGCCACAGCTCACGCTTGTCTCTCTTCTTACTCTTGCCTCGTCTGCATTTTCCCCCAATCCTTTTTTTCTTTTCTCCCTTCTAATGTAGCTCCCAAGAGCAGGCTCCTTCTAATAGAGTAAGGAACCAGTGCAGAAGAAAACAGGAACTGCTGGTTTGAAATGCTTCTCTAGGAAAAGCAGAAGAAAATTCCTCCTCCTCCCCCTCTTTACCTCTTCTTCTATTTTCTCCTATTGTCTCCTCTACTTCTTCCTCATTTTCATCCTCTTCCTCCTTTCCCACTGCCACCTTCCCTTCTCAAGACCCAGAATTCAGGATAGTTCTAGCAGTATTACAGTGCAACTACAATCCAGTTAGCTGAATAGGCTTCAGGGGCACAGGCCAGGAACCAAACTAGCTTGTATTAGGTGTTTCCTTGGGAAATACACTTTAAATGGCAACGCACTTACCTTGAAGACCTCAACCCACTCTGAGGTTGGGTACAGCTTGTGGTGCTGGGTGTATTTTGGACAGCTGTCTCCTATAGTTAAGAAATCAAGACAATCCCCGAAGTATACTAAAGTATCAAGCCATTGTATGTTTTGCAAAATCATATTAATCCCTAATAACATCATAAATTTGTTTACTTAGCCCTGCTAGCCTGAGTGATGACATGCAATTGATCTTTGCCTGACAGAGCCTGCGACACTGGCCCAAGAGAACACACTGATTCGACTCCACAAAAAGCATTTGGGGTTAAATGTGCCAGGTGTGGGCCGGGCAGATGGCATAGCAGCGGTGCCTTGTGTTGTCATGCACATAATCTGATTTCTGAAATGACCTCGAGACACCAATTTGCTCTGCTCGATATCAGGTGTGCTGTGAGAAGCCCAGTCTCTGGGGAACACTCACACCACTTTTCAGCACTTCTCATCTGTGGGCTAATGGACAGCACTCTCATTGGAAATGGCACTGTTTGCTCTTCCCACAGGAAGAAATTGTTAAAATGCTGGTAGCTTTAGCAGGCAGCAGGTGTGGCAGCACATCCTGAGTAGATAATTGCAAATATGTTTTTAGTTGCAACTTTGGCACCCAACAGTAAATAATACCAATTCCTACAAATGCAATAATACCAGTTCCTACAAATGCACAAGGATGGAGTTTAATTTTCTTTGAACAACTGTTGAGAACCTATTTATTTTCTTTTTTCCTATTTTCCCCAATAAGCTGTTTATTTTTTCCATGTTAAGCCTTAAAGTAAATTTGCAGTGATACACCGCAGCATTATTTTCTTTTTACTGAATAACAGTGATAACACAGCAAACTTTCCGTTTATTTCTAGCGAACTTTGTATAACTCATAATAGGATGGGCTGTGTGACCAAGATGTTTATATTTCTCTACTCAGAAAACTAAAAGAACCAGAGGACCAAGCTCTCTAAATTTAATGATCCAAAGACAAAGATTTTGCAAAGAAATCTTTGCAAAAGATTATAGCAGAAATTCAATTAGGGTTCTCTGCTAACTTCTCCAATTTTATTTTAGTAAATTTCTATATTTTGCTTAAAAACATCAGCTATCCCAAAACTTTCAGCCGAAATTATACTTTCACATCCTAAAAACAACAAATAGAGGGCCTCACTTCCTTCCCTGGATTTGTGTGACACTAAAATCATGTACTTTTTATCAGTTGTCAAATGCTTATTTAATAGGTCAAAAAATTATTTCCAGTCCTGGAAGCAGAATGAATAGATTGATAAAAAACGTTTTACTTTTTAGCCAGTTGGGTTGATCATATGAAGACAAGATTTTGTCCTTGGCAGAAACTTTCCATAGCATAGGATCTTAAAGTACAGGATATTAAAGACAAATATACTCTGCAAATAATGACCTAGGAGTAATAGTTTAAATTACTGACTGTATCAATAATAAAGAACAATATTTCTCCTGAAAACTTTGTACTCTCATCCTGCCAGAAAGTTTAGGGACTTCTTGGGATATAACACTATTTTGATTTCTCACAAATCATTCTTATTTCTTAGAAAAGAAAAATCCACTTTGAATATTTGGCCTTTTTACTCAGTGACATGCATGGTGAGGCACTGTCCTGCCCAAATCCAGGACGGAATGTTCATTTCTGGCCGCTGTATCTTAATTGGGAAATTGACATCCTGGAATATATTTGAAGAGAAAGACTCAGTCCTTCAAAAAGCTGGGAAAAAATATCATCTAAAGAATGCCTGAAGGAACAAGATATTCATCATGGAGAAGTCAAGGGATGGGGAAAACCGAGATACGCTGTCCGGCATCATCTCAGAAGATGCACTTCTGATACAGCGGCCAGAAATGGACATTCCCTCCTGGATTTGGGCAGAACAGTGCCTCACCATGCATGTCACAGAGTAAAAAGGCCAAATCTCAGGGATTGAAGGACCATGATGAGGACAACTCTAATCTTACACCGTGGTTCCAAAAGACAGAATCACCACCAGAGACTGGAAGTCAGAGAGGGATAGCCTTTACATCAATAAAAGAAAGAAGTTACTCTTTCTGAGAACTGTTACAAATAGTGTGTATTCCAATATTATGTGGTCTCAGTAACTCTTATTAGAATTCCTAAAACTATTACAAATAGTGTGTATTCCAATATTATGTGATCTCAGTAACTCTTATTAGAATTCCTAAAATAGCAACAGGCAGCATTACAAAGTCTCAGCATGGAGCTGTGGGAACTAGGACCAGACCACCTGAAGGTTTCCTTCCAAAAGGCTAAAATGTATTTTTCCAGTTTGATTCTAAGCAAATCCTTTAAACTTGTGCCCAGATAGATTTTGGTATCCGTACCTGATCTCGTGGCATCTGGTCCAGCCTTACAGTTTTTCAATGTATACTTGCTCTCAACTCCTCTGCCTCTCAAGTTGATTTCACAACTGATTCCCCAGATTCATCTCTATCCCACAGAAGTATTTATTTTCACATGGCTAAAGTCATGGGGAGAAGAAGCTAACATCAACAATTCTCAAAAAGCCTTCAGGGTGAGAATTTTCCTTTTGAAACACCAAGAGTCTCTTAAACAGTAGACAAGTCACACGTGTGTCATCTGAAATTACATCACACCAACCAATGGCACACTATTAAATGCATGTAAATTCCCTGCCTTCCTCTTCAGAATCTGTTTACGAAACGATTCCTAAACACAGATGGAGCTTTTTCTGCCGGCACATATTAATTTGTGTTTTTATTTATGCACTTCTGATCTTTGTGACGTTTTGTCCTTTAGCCTGACACCAAGTCATTTTTTATACATGTCCTGTGGAAAGGTGGCCCTTGCCCTGCAGTCAGCCTCACAAATCCCTGACACACACGCATGCATTTTTTATTGTTCTCACATGTTGCTTAACAGCCTGCGTGATTACTGCTTTACAGCACAGCAGATGGGTTCTTGAATAGCGGTGAAACAGATGAGATGCTCAAATCGATTGTTTTATCAACAATCAGTTGCAGATAAAAATCATTTTAATGAGAGAAATTAATGGTGTTTGCAAACATGATGTTAATTAAAGAACATTGCTTAGGCGGTTTTCTTCGCCTCTCTCTTTTTTTCTGCACACAACTTTTGGTTACCCGTGACATCTTTCATTATTGACTCATGCCCCAAAGAAAAGGCGATTAAAATCTGCTTTTGTTTGATGTAGCTTTTATTGAAGAAAGAAATAGATCTTTCTGAAGCTTCCTGGTGAGATGAAAGTCTAATTATCTCCACAAATGAAAGGAAAAGCTTTAATTAGGCCTGTGCTGAATCTGCGCACTGTGAATTTGTGCATTGTGATGGATGGAGCCCGCATCTCCTCCGTGACTGCCGTTGAAATAATGAAGGAAGAGGAGAGGTAGCTTACTCCCATGATTCAGCTGGCAGAGTGGAGTTGCAGGCACACCTGGGTTGTCAGCAAGTGCCCAGAGCAGCTGCCACGGGCCATGTTTCAGTGCTGTGCATTCGGCTGTTTTACAGCCTCCCTCTGAGCTTTGATCTCTTTTCAGACAGCAGGGGTCCTAACAAATCAAGCTTTTCATGTTTCACTCAGTTTCACTCTCTTTTGCTTCCCCATTCACACTGGAACTCCAAAGAGGATGGATAAAATATTGTCTTTTTCTGAAGCAATTAATGATCAGCAGCTGACATTATTGAAGTGGGTATGATGCCTTACAAGCAGTATTTTAAGGTTGACCATAGGGAGGATTCTGGGGAAAGAAATGAATTATTTATTTAACTTTTTAGTTGTTTACTTCGGTGTTTGTAATGCTATTAATCATTTGCACATGAGCTTTAATACGTACATACACTTTTGGAAGTGTGCTGAACTGTCCGTCGGCTCTGAAGGGTGACACTGTGAATTATTTTAAACTGCTAATTGTCACATGGCAGAAAGCTAAAAATACCAAATACGGCTGGATCCCCTGTTTTGTCCCACTTTTGCCATGTTGAATGTAGCTTGGTCTATTTTCATGTCATCCCACTGATGCCAGGAAGGTCAAACTCTGACTTGATCCGTCACTGCTTGATGTTAATCTATTCTTTTCAGTGAATCCAAAAGCACTTCTGACATCAAGAGTGACGATGGGGATTATTTCCAACACTTTTTTTTTTTTTTTTTTTTTTTTTTGGCCAGGATTAAAAAAGAAGTTGGGAAGGGGGAAATGCTAACAAAATTGAGCAGCACGTACAGGCAATTTGACCTCCCTGCTGCCTCCCACCTTTCTTTGGGTAGGAATTCCCTAACATGAAAGAATGATGAATTTGTTTTAAAGGTTAAAAAATAAAGCCTGCAACCCGAGATCATAGGGAGGAAAGAAACTACACGTGGAACATGGCACTTTCACTTACTCTAAGCAAAGGTGTAAACTGAAAGGCAATTTTCACGACCTATAAAAACCCTATCTGTAGGCAACACTTCTTTATTTACAGAGGTCAAAATTGGGCAATAAACTTGTTTGTTGAAGGGAATGTGGGTGAATTATCAGAGACAATTACTGGGGTGGCCTCTGATTTGTGGGATGGAAAATTTGAAATGAATGTTTTCTTGGATAGAGTTTATTACTCTCCTAAAATTATGAAACTTAGGCTTTCTGGCTAAGGTGCAATTTTTTTTTTTTACACTTTTGGTATTTTTGTTCGATCTCTTTGTAACTCTTCGGGCTTCCTTCCAACACTGCTCGTTCCTTGTCTCCTTGTCCCCTGCGAGAAAGCTTTAAGCCTCTGAGTTTAATCCTAGGGTATGATCACTACTGTTTATAGATTCCATCCACAGAATTGACCTTCTTGCAGGTGGTTGGCACCCAGCAGGTGGGCCTTCTTAAGGTCACAATAAGGAATGGAAAAGGATTGAACAGAACTTGACAGCTGCCTCGCCCTAAGTGGAATGATTTCAGTTCTGGTCAAAGCAGTGCATAGGGAGGAAGGAATTTACGGAGGTGCTAAGGGTGAGGGATATTTAGAGAAAGTTGACACAAATTAAGAAAGAGTAGATGAAATCCAACAGTTCATTCAATGGCACATGTGAGTGCCCAGAGTGAATCCATCCTTCCCCTACAATCACAAGGGTGAGGGGAATGTGGAAACATTTGTCACTCTATAATTTATTTCAGTGGAGTAGAGCATCAGAGTTAGAGAGTAAAATAAAACTAAAACTGAATGCCACAGAACAAATGCAAGCAAACCCCCTAATTAAATGCTCACTTTCCTCTTTTCAAGCTTTATCGGTGTCAACATTTAATTTCACTCTTTAGAGCTTAGCACCGTCTCCTCCATATGTGAGTTCAATAGTGATATAAATGTCTTACGTGGGTGTGTGTACAATGCTTATTACATAAAATGGAAATAGTGGCACAGTGGCTACATGGAACTCAGACGATGCTGAAAAGTTAGACCATATTTATTGGCAGTTAACTTTCACAGCAGAAAATATTTTTGAATTATTTTTTTCTTCCCTTTGAACATTGATATGGTATTTAGGCCATTTAAACCCAAAGTCAGAAAACTGACCATTCGAACAAGTAGAAAAAAAAAATGTGAGGTCCAGACAAACAACATACCAAATATAACAAACAAACACAAAAACAAAGCCTCTGAGAGATTTCCCCCTGCTATCCTCAGAGCTGTCCATAATTTTCTGGTCCATCCACCCCAGATTCTCCAAGGGGTAAAAGTGTTTTGTCATAGTAGCCTCAAAATAAACACGAAACAAAACAAATTAAACCTACTAAAGATAGATAAAATTACTCAATAAAAAACATGAATAACCACACATTTTTTTTAAAAAAAGAAAGTGTAACAAAAAGGAAACAGATGTGTCAGACATCCTCATAAACACAACTAAAAGGAAATGACCCCGTTCTTTCTAGGGAATGGTGTCAAGGCAGAATTTAAGAAAGAGAAAGAAGCATCTGAAAGGTAACACGCAGCCAATGGGAGGTTCGTTTCTTAAAAGTCAGGAAAGCAGAACTCTGGTGAGGAGGGAGTGACTCTCTAAGGAGAATTCAAAGATAAGGTTCATCCTTTTTCTCACTCTAGAGTAAAGTTTTGGAGCTAATGCTCCATGTTTCTTAAATTATCTTAATCCTGGTATATTTAGAACTGTAATGTATGTAGAAGCTATATCCAGAACTGAAATCTGATATGGTAATGTCCTTAAGTTAACTTTATTCCCCCTTTTGGTAAGAAGGCCCATATGCATGTTAAGAAATACACATTTACTTTGGGGGGAGGGTGAAGAAAAAGCAAGCATTCAAGAAAATAGTTAAAATATCAGAAGAATATGAGTGGTCGCTGGAACCAGGGATGCCACAGAGATGTCCAATGGGCAGAGGAAGCCCTCATTCTAGAATCGAGGAGAAAGCTACTCTGTTTAGGAAGAAAAATTCATAGACAGGGCAGTGCTATGGCACCAGCTCAGTTTGTGTCGTAAGAGGAACAGCTATTTTTATCAATGTAATCATGCAATTTATACCAAACCTGTGGTTAATAATTTTTAAAACCTTGTCACAGCAGCCATAGGCAGACATTTGGAATCTTTCTCAGATGAGAAGATGATGACATGGGAAACTTGCCCAAGGGATCCTAGCATGGGTCAGCAGAAGCTGGAGTACTGGGGGCCTCTCCTTGCTCAGGCCTGGAGGAGGAGGACAGAAGGAGCTCATGCGTGGGTACAGCAAGAAGGTGTTCTCACTTCTTCCTTTCCCTCCCTCGTAAGAGACATTTGTTTGGGTTCACAGGCTGCCCTCTAAAACAGCAATCCTCCTCTTCACTCTGAGAGCCATGTCTGTACCTTGCTCCGGGTGATTTGACTCTGACTTCAAGAATGTAAAGTGTTCATACATACATTCATTTATTTATTTACATGCTTATTTACTTGCCTACATGACAAACCAGCAAGAAAGGAGGGGTAGCCAATGAGTACAAGACATTTTCAGAAGAACTCGCTCTGGGGACCTGCTAGGAGAAGAGGGTAGTCGGGAGCTCTATAGTGGAGGACTGTGGACCACCAGCGGGTCAAAATGCCAGCGGGGTGTATCCAGTCACGGAAAACATTTCCAAAAGAAAGGCTTAAAATGGGATAGAGACAAAATTGGCCTACATTCCAGAGCTGCATGGACTTGTACTGAATATGGCACCGGGGGCCCCTAAGAGTCTGTGTTAGGGTGCCCAGCATCACTCCCAGCTCAAAAACCCTTCAGGGGACTCTCCATCAGCCTCAGGATGAAGTTCGGAGTCCTCAGCACAGTCCTACAAAGGCCTGTCCACAATCTCATCCCTGCTTTCTCGCCTTCTTCATTGCTCACTACTGGCCCTCATGAGGTCAACATCCCAGATAGGCCAAGCTCCTGTGCCACTCTTGAAACTTCTCGCCACCCATTCAGGTCTATGCTTCCAGGCTGTGGTCCCCAGTCTACACTCTCCTCACTACTTCTGTCTCTCATGTAGGTGCTTATGCTGTGTTGTGGTCATCTGTCTCCTAACATTTCTCTTCTAGAACAGTCTACCACGTTCCCTTGAGGCCAAGGTCTACACAATTTTTCTCTATATTCCCAAAGCATAGTGCAGCAGCTTGCAGGAGCCAGAAGTAGAAACAGAGCCCCCTCTTTTTTTCTTAGTAAGAAAATGCCATGGAAGAGCAAAGAAGAGTGTGGAATTGACGTATCTTTGTTACCTAAAGTGTGTGTTTATGAATTATTGTAACTCAGACTTTCATGCTGTCTGGTAGCTCAGCTCCAGTTTCCTCCTTTACATTTTTAATACAAAAGTTCACTTCTTTTTGGAAAGGCTCAATGATTACAAACATCTAAATCCCACTTCGTCGCTAACTCATTTGTCACCCAGGCTCCTGTGCTTCCACCTGCGTTTGAAACCAGAATATATTTCTGCCACAGTCTGTGAACCAGCTTATCTACGGCACCTAAAAGTGTTTTTATAGGAAACAACCAAACATAAATAATAAATAGTGAAGTACATTTTACTCTCCTATCATAGTATTAATTTGCCCTCCAGTTCCTATGTAATGCATCAGGTGCACAAGTCTAGACACATTTAGATTAGAAACAGCCCAGAATGCATATTAGACGCATATTTATCATCTTGATTTATTAAGGAGCAGCTGCAGAATGATACTAATTAAGTGTCTGTGCTTTCTTTTTGAGACTATAATTGTTTTTTTAGAACAAGCAAAATGTAAGGAAACAAATGGGCAAGGGTATTTGAATGCATTAAATCTCTATTATATAGACAATGTTTCTTTACATTTTTCTGCAACTTACACATTAAAGGAGGACATTCCCGTGGTTTACAAAAAGTTGTCTATAGTAAACATTCCTCTGAGACTTTTTTTGTGGTGTTATTTATACCATTTTGAGTCATTTAGCCTATAGTTCTGGAGCATCTTCTGCCTGCTAAACTCTGTGCTCTGTTTGGAGGGCTCTCATTGCCAAGTTCTCAATCATTCATAATTACAAAAAAAAAATCAAAGCAATATAAATATTCACATGCAAGGGAAATGCAAGGATCTTACAGGCTTTTAAAAATATTTTTACTTTTCAGAATTTCTGTAGAAATTATATATTCTACTTTTACCAGCCAGAAGCAGAACAACTAGAACTCAATCAAAATTTTCTTAAAAATGTAACCGGAGGCCCTCAGGGTTTAGCTCCATTTCATACCAACACTAACCTAGAAAACTCAGATAAAAGTAAGTGCAATTTGTTTCAATTAGTTGTGACCATAAAATATATAAAGAAAAGGAAGGAAATAGTCCCAACAAGCTTATGTTAAGTCCAGAAAGACGGGAACAATAAGAGAACACCTTATTGCAAACTTCTGGCCTAATAAAACACGCAATAAATAACCTCAAATCTCTGCTTCAACACTATACACAAAATATGAGCTTTTTATTGAAAAAGAAAATCTTCACATTGTCATAAAACAGCTGAGGCTTTAACAGTAGGTCCTCCCTGCATCTAATCCTGTCGCTTGTTTTCTTGTCCCTGTAATCGTTCCTGAAGTTCATACCGTTTAAACACATCCTGAGTACAACCACCTAAAACCAGCCACTTGACGTAGGCTAGCTCTTGGTAAGGGGTGGTTCACACCACAGCATGAGACAGGTTTTCTTTTATTCCTTTTCCTTTTAGAGAAGCAAAGCTGACTTTTAAAAAGTTTACTAGAAAATAATTTTCCACCTCAACTAAGAAACATATAAATATTTAAAAACATGAAATAAAGAAATACCACAAGCACAACACACATAATCCTGTCAATCCATAGTAAATAATATGTATTTTAATTGTATGAAATGAGAATTTAGAGTTTGGAAAACAGTAAACACTTTTAATCCTTCAAAAACCTAATTCAAATGAGATTTTTGAAGATTTTGACTCTCACCTATAACTCCGACCCTTTCCACAACAGTGTTATGTTACTGTGAAAACATAAACTTTTTAATTCCATTTTTAAAATTGTAATTACAGTAAAAAGTTTTTAAAAAAAATTTAAAGCTTTGGTTCACTGACTTACTCTGTGCCTACCTCATTAACATCATATTGAAAATTCCAGGTGTGGAGGAAAGGTTGTCATATATTCAGAGCATTGAACTCTTTTCTTCAACTCAGTCTAATCTGTACTTTTGCTACAAATTTTCCTATTAAAAAAAGTGAAATAAAATCAGTAGCAGATAATTACATTTTTCCCTTGAATTTTATAAAAATTTAAGAGATTTTTCCATTTATGGAGTTTTACTTTAGCTCACTTGGCTTTGCAAATATTTGTAAGAGTACTATAGTTTTGAAGCAATGAGCCTTGTTGAGGCAGTGTGCGAAGGTGTGTTAGGGTGAGATGGGGGATTCTGGTCAAAATGGCAGCTGTTTGTGACTCCTCAGTTCTGTAACTATAGCAAAGTCTAAGAAAAAAACAAAACCATCTGCTTAGAAAGGCTAAATGTACACTTCAGAGTGTGAATGAAAGGTAATTTACGAAACATTCTGACATTTATTATTGCAAAACCTGAGGCGTGGTAGCCACTCGGGAGGGCTGAAGAATGGATATCGAATGGAAATTTCAGGCAACACACTAGGCATTTCCCATATATTACAGCAACACCTTGGAACAGACTTGTGAGACAGGTCTTGGTTATCCCTATTTTATATGTCAGGTAACTGACGCCAAACGATGTTAGGTGAATTCTCTAAGGACTGGCTTTATTAAAAAGTGGTACAGCCAGGGCTGAAGTCCAAGTCAGTTTTTGGTTAAAGACAATCTTCAATTGCATGAAACTTTCATATGCATAACTGCATACAACCAACCTTCTACAATATGTAGTGGGGCTCACACATCAAGTTCCAGTTCTCTTACAACAAAGTGTATGAAAAATTTTAGTTTGTGCAAATGATTAAGGAATTGCCTCTGCTTTCCCCCGGCTCACATTTTTCTACTTGGAAACATCATTTCTGCCATGTCTTACTGTGTTCTCTTTGCTCTCATCATTGCAAGTGGTTGGGACAGGTTGGACTTTTCATTTCTTGCATTAGAGTTTATTGCATTCACTGAAGATCATTGTCCTTCTCCTTTGCGCATACTTGAAGCAAAATGTTCCTAAGGCTGTATTTCTAGGACCCTTCTCCAATTTGCATTGAAAAGATCTGCCACAAATACCCAGGAAAGGCCTATCTTTAGCACACTGTCTCTTTTCCTGTTTTCTGCTTGCTGCCTATATGTTCTACCCCAATATCAGAGTCGAGTCCCAAAAATGGTGAAAGGGACATTTAAATGTGCTCTTCTAAGCAGAAGTCCAAATAGTGGCTTGAGAGTTCGAATTGTGTCTAGGGGTTAAAATAGATGACTCCAGTTCACTCTTTAAAATATTCATGTCCTAATACTTTTCCTGTGACACTGTTAAATACCTCTTCCTTATAACTCAGTGGTTTTGCTGCATCTCCATTACCTCCTCACTGTTTATTCCATGATGAGACATTGTTCTGAATCTCATAAAGAAAGAGCTAAGATCTAGAACCTGAAACAACATTTGATACAGCAATCCCCTTACTGGGAATATACCAAAGGAATATAAATCATTCTATTACAAAGATACATGCATACTTATGTTCACTGCAGCACTCTTCACAATACCAAAGGCATGGAATCAACCCAAATGCTCATCAATGGTAGATTGGATAAAGAAAATATGGTACATATGCATCATGGAATACTATGCAGCCATAAAAAGAAACAATATCATGTCCTTTGCAGGTACATGGAGGGACATAGATGGAGCTGGAAGCCATTATCCTCAGCAAACTAACCCAGAAACAGAAAACGAAACACTGCATGTTCTCACTTATAAGTAGGAGCTGAACAATGAGAACACATGGACACAGGGAGGGGAACAACACACACTGTGGCCTGTTGGGGGTTGGGGTCAGGGGAGGGGAGAGCATTAGGAAAAATAGCTAATGTATGCAGGGCTTAATACATAGGTGATGGGTTGATAGGTACAGCCAACCACCGTGGCACACATTTATCTATGTAACATACCTGCACATCTACCTCAGAACTTAAAATAAAAAATATTTAAAAAAAAAAAAAAGAAAGAAAGAGCTAAGGCTAAGGGAATCAGACCCAAAATCACATTCTGTGAGGGAATGAGAGCATAGACTGAAGAGCTAGATACTTAGTCCCAGGCCCCAAAATAACAATAGTCATGGGTGGGCGCGGTGGCTCACAACTGTAATCCCAGCACTTTGGGAGGCCGAGGCGGGCAGATCACCTGAGATTGGGAGTTTGAGACCAGCCTGACCAACACGGAGAAACCCCATCCCCAAAATACAAAATGAGCTGGATGTGGTGGCACATGCCTGTTATCCCAGCTACTCGGGCGGCTGAGGCAGGAGAATCGCTGGAACTCGGGAGGGGGAGGTTGCAGTCAGCCGAGATTGCACCATTGCACTCCAGCCTGGGCAACAAGGGCGAAACTCCATCTCCAAAAAAAAAAAAGTCACTAATATTTATGAGCCTTTTACTATGTGCCAGGTTGTATCCTAACCATTGTATGTGTATTGCTTCATTTAACACCTTAGAGTAAATATTACTATTATTTCCCTTTTACAGATAAAAGAACTAAGCCCAGACCCACTTATCAAGTGACAGAGTAGGGATTCCAATCTCTGCAGCCTGATTCCAGAGGTTCTACACTCAAACACTACCCTCTTTTGTACTGATGCACTGTTCAGCCATTGTAATGCCCCCTTAAAATCCTGGGCTTATACTCTGGTTTGTACACTGTCATGTATTCAACAGCCAAAGAGTGACAATTATATCCTTAATGAATGTAACTAAACAGAGACTGGAAATAACTGAAAAAAAAAAAATCCCTCAGGTTCTGTAAGAGATGGAAGGGAGGACAAGACTGTTCTAGAAGCAGATGATGAGGCCTTTTCAACCCATTGCCCATTTTCTTATTTTATGAGGAACTGACATTATCTGACTCAATTTTCAGCCTCTGGAATGATATGTGCAATGTCTATTTCTGAATCACTAATCTTTTCCAAAGTCAAATAAAGCTCCTATCTGGGAAGGAGATGGCCCCAGAGTGTAGAGAATAGGTACCCATAAAAGGTGGGGACAGAGAAATTGTGTTAAGCCTGAAAAGAGAGCAGAGAAGTTAGCACTGGCCCTGCAGAGCCAGGCTGTACCTCTGCAAAATGCTTTTGTTACCAATTATTACAGAAATGCTACAGGACTCAGGATATTAACAAAAACTTCTCTTCGCACACACATATCTATGGTAGGGTTTATTCCCTTGGCACATCCCAACAGTTTTACAATTGGTTTGTTCATTTATTTTTCAATAAGCAGAATGCTTTTTCCACTTCACAACTATTTCATAATAGTGCTGATGTCTGAACCACAGGGAAAAATCTGAATGATTCACACACGCTATCCTGTGTACCAAATTTTCTCCCACATGCGGCTTTGCAAGTGATAATAGAAGAATTCTCTATGTTTATGAAACATGCCCTTTCATTTTGGTTTGTTTTGGTTTGGATAATATCTTGGTGTATATTTCAGATTTCACCTAAGGAACCAGCACTGACTATTTTTCTGGGTTTTAATTAAGCCCTTTCCAGCACGCTCAGGTTCACTCATTCAAAGCTATCCACCACATCCAAGCAAATCAGACGGAGGGATTAACACGTGTTGTGTAGTAATCTTGTTGTATTTGTGTTCATCTGTTCATCAAGGGAAAAAAAATAGTCAATTTAAAGTGACATGGGAGTGGCAATCCCTGTCTTTAGGCAACGGTTGTATAATTGACCTCCTTTAGCATTTAATTTCTCAAGCCTCTAGGAAGCTTAATTTTGAACATCAAAGAGGTACCTGTGGAAGAAACTGTTCCAGACTGGTGAGTAAACAAATTAGAGTTAATAGGGTCATTAGCTTTTGTGGTAAAAAATTTGGACTGGGTATTCCTCACTAACAGATATGTAAACTGTCAGCATGTGGGGTTTTTTTTTTTAACCCTTTAAAAATATAATTAGATTTAGAATTTGACAAGATGGTATATATTCTTTGCTTAATGGCACTTCTTAGGTTTCGATAGGACTTGTTTTTTGTTGTTGTTGTTTGGTTTGGTTTGGTTTGGTTTTATTTGAGACGGAGTCTCACTCTGTCACCCAGGCCGGAGTGCAGTGGCGTGATCTCGGCTCACTGCAACCTCCGCCTCCTGGGTTCAAGCGATTCTCCTGCCTCAGCCTCCTGAGTAGCTGGGACTATAGGCACGTGCCACCATGCCCGGATAATTTTTTGTATTTTTAGTAGAGACAGAGTTTCACCATATTGGCCAGGCTGGTCTCGAACTCCTGACCTCGTGATCCGCCCGCCTCAGCCTCCTAAAGTGTTGGGATTACAGGCGTGAGCCACCTTGTCTGGCCAGGGCTTGGTTTTTATAACGCTAAAGTGTTTATGAAAATCCTTCCTAGCCACCTATAATCCATACTGATAAATATATTCCTGTATGTCCATGAATGACAGAGTTCTGTGGATCCAGCCACACTGGGAGAATCGTACTGTCCCATCCAAGGTACCAGTTACGTAACAAAGCACCTGGGTTCTAATTGCCCGTAGTACAATATGGACAGTGAGCTGTTTAAATACGTTGAATACTCATCAAGATACAAGGTTTAGCAGGGAGATTAATAAAAGAGTTCGTTTTTCACTAAACCTCAAGACTGGTGAGTAACAAAAAAAATATATGTTTAACTTAGGGAAAAAGCAAATATTTGCTAGCTTTGACAAAGGAGATTGTGGCAGCTATTTAGACTGGAAATCTGCAGCTGGGCAAGCACATCCAGTGGAAAACCACCTCCTAACTGTGAAAACTTATTGTACCAGCAGGATATGGGAAGTGACAACAACAATGAAAGCTAAGGCAAAAAAATAAAAGAAAAACAGAGTGAGGCAGAGATCGTGTGGTGCTCTGTGTTTTAAGATGTGTTTGGGAGCTGCGGGATGTAACTTAATTATGAATAAAGATTTCCAAATGTATATTTACTCTTTCCTCTCTGAAAATATAACTTATTAAAGCATTGTTGTAGCTATTCTCATAATTAGTACAAATTGGTTTGACACTAAAAGTCTTTTTTATTCTCTTTTGTGTATCTTCTGTTAGTTCTATCAGAAGAAAAATGTTTTATTCCCCATTACTGTTTATATCAAAACAAAACACATAAGTTTAAAAATAAAAATGCTATGATTACGATTACTTAAGGTTTTTTGAGAGGCATAATTATGTTGGATTAGATGAACTATTCGGAGATTGTGATGTGATATTGAATAATTTTAAGCTTATAGATTGTTGTTACATCATTTTTATTTAGTGTTAGATCAATCACGTTTTCACTTACGGAAATGAAAATACTCATTACTTGTAATTACTATATTGCTGACTTTTTTGAAATTGTTCGTGGGGGCTGGGTGGAGGAATGTTAGCTGTTGAATTTCAGTGTCAGTGCCTCTAAGCCATAAAATTCTGAAAAATAGAAATACCACAATAAGCAGAGGCTGTTGGAAAGCAAACCTCAGTGAAGGAAGTTTAGCAAAGCCTGTAGGAATCAAACAGACAATACCCACATGACTCGTTCGGCACATGCAAGATTTAGAATTGCTCAAGTCAGAATTTCTTTCTTATTTCCCAATATTTGCAGCAAAAAATACCCACATGGAACTCAGGCCTGTGAGGCCGCCTGGCCACTGAAGTCATTTTAGGTTTTGGGTTAGCAAATGAAGCATTAAGCTTTTCTACAAGATGGTGGCAAAGCCCCAAATCCTCTACTCTTTTCAAGCCTAGCCATCCTTAGAGAGATAAACTCTGAGAAGCCATAAAGGCCTTAAATTTACCACTTGTAAACAGCCTTATCATTTGATGTGGCACTGACACACCACTTCTGCACAGTACAGTAGCATCCTGCACCGTGGGAAGCCGTGCCGCCCTGGCAGAAGGGAGAAAATGCTGATGTGATTCCTTCTGCTGGATTGATGGCCTGAATTTTGGAATATTTCTGTCCAGGAGATACTGCTCTCACTCTTTCACCTTTGCAACTGTCATGGGGTACCTGCGTGTGTGTGTGTATGTGTGTGTGTGCGTGCATGTGTACATATATCTCTAAGGAGATTGAAAGGCACATGACTGAAAGACAGTTTTGTAACAATTAGGCAAGTAACTATGCCTCAAACAAAACAAAACAAAATAAAACAAACAAAAAAACCTCTAGTTTTTGTAAGGAAATAACCACGAAAACCACTTAAATAGCTTTGCCCAAGAAAGGAGCAAAGGTTTTCAGGAAATAAAAGAATAGCAGAGGTGAAAAAAAATCAATCCTGAAAGAAAAAGAAAAGTCTTTTCTTTTGAACAGATGGAGCTTTCTCTTTCAGTATCTACCTAATGAAAATGAAGATATGGATAATATCAGGCACCAAATGCAGGCTTTGGTGTAGACTCTTGTCTGTCCATGTTGAACGCTCAACAATTTCACGACCCCAGAAGTTCCAAGCATCTGCATGTTTTACCTGAATTAATCATGTGGCATAAATTAAAAGTAAATCATCAATCATCATTAATTATCTGTTCCACTGATGCCTGCACTTTCTTACACTTTAATCTTCATTAACATCTAGAAAAGAGAAAATCCCAGAGGGCATGCCACATGTGTTCCTCTGTTGCGTGTAGGTCTCCCCAGAGCTCTCAGCCACTCAGCAATACAGCTCTCCTCAATGGGAAGCTGATACCACCAGGGCTTTTTCTCTGAATACTTCAGATTAAATCAAAAGGCTTAATTTGAGCAGCCATGGGCTAAAGCAAGATTCAGCTCTTTACATCTGAGACCCTGGCGCCCTGTCTCTTGAGCACCTTCTACAACACTTGAACCACATCCTGTAAGATTCAGGTGGATTGCATCCTGGAGGAGCATGGCAGCTTCTTCATTCAGATGAGGTTCCTCGCTCTTTGTTATGAGCTGCTCTGAGCAAAAATAACTCTTACCGATGCCATTAGCTTTCTTTAGTTCTTGTTAAATATATAAGCTTTGTAAGTGTGGTCTGGTGTACAAAAATGGCTTGCAGTAAGGTTACTTGAAACAGTTTACTTGGAAAGGTGAAATGTGAAGCTATTTTGATGAGATGTGTAATGAATGATCGATTTTATACAGAAGTTTCCCGTTTTGCTTTGTATTGTTTCCTCTACTGAAGGATATAGACTGTCTTGACATGCGTAATCGTAACTCAAGGATAAAAGATTATATTGTGTACAACAATATCTTTAAGCACTGGAACCACTTTGACTATCCCCATCAATACACTAGTCTCTAACTATAAATACAAGCTACTCCCTCCCTTCCTCCCTCAGCACTGCCATGCTTTGCTTGCAATTCTCCTCCCTTCTTCCCACATGTCAGTCATTACCAAGCATGTATGAAATGGTCCATTCTATCTGCATCTGCTAAAGTCACTTAAGAAGCCAATGTGGGCCGGGTGTGGTGGCTCATGCCTGTAATCCCAGCACTTTGGAAGGCCAAGACGGGCAGATCACGAGGTCAGGAGATCGAGACCATCCTGGCTAACGCGGTGAAACCCCGTCTCTAATTTAAAAAAAAAATAAAAAATTAGCCAGGCACGGTGGCGGGCGCCTGTAGTCCCAGCTACTCGGGAGGCTGAGGCAGGAGAATGGCGTGAACGCGGGAGGCAGAGCTTGCAGTGAGCCGAGATCACGTCACTGCACTCCAGCCTGGGCAACAGAGCGAGACTCCGTCTCAAAAAAAAAAAAAAAAAAAAAAAAAAAAAAGAAGAAGCTAATGTGGAGAGAGTGTATTACTCAGGCTGGGTGCTATGTATAGAGCAGATACATCATTATACTTAAAATATCACCATGTTATACTCAACAAAATTTCACATCAATGAGAAGATCTTTCAAAAATCATAACAGTACTCTTTAAAGCTGAAGACATTTTGTGCTTGTACACCTGGTCAAAGAGAGAGGTTACTTTTATTATCTGTTCTCAAGCTTCTAAAATGTTCTGACATGATTAGAATGATCTTATGAAAATCATTCTGTTACACCCTGATTCACCAAGCAGATCCTCCAGAAAGAGCCTCCAACCTTTTTTCTAAACATCTTGCTTTTAGAAATGGTGATTATTAGAAAGACTGTGGTGATATGTCTTTCATTAAGGTTAGAAATGTAAGGATTTGATATTTCTTGTAGCATTGAACTGATATTAAAAAGCCAGTAAATTTGGAGAAATAGATAGACAAATCCAGCATCTATTCTTCTTGAGGTCTCCAACTATGTTGTAGCCATAGTTTTCAGAACCAAAATGCAGAATGATGTGGACATAGCTGATGTGGCTCATTATTTTGAAAAAGATGTTAAAGGTGAATCCTTGTTTCATTCTTCTAAGAAAATGGACCTGAGAGTAAATGGAGAACAACTGGATCTGGATCCTGGTCAAACTTTAATTTATTATGTTGATAGAAATGCACCTGAATTTTCAATGCAGGCTCTAAAAGCTGGTGTTTGTGCTGTTATTGTGGTTGTGATGATAGCAGTTGTTGCTGGAATTGTTGTGCTGGTTATTTCCAGAAAGAAGAGAATGGCAAAGTATGAGAAGGCTGAGATAAAGGAGATGGGTAGGATGCATAGGGAACTCAATGCATCAGTCCTATAATTTGAAGATTGTAGAAGAAGGGAAATCGCAAACGGACTCAGATTACAAATGTATGAGCATGGGACAAAGACATCTTTGAAGGTCACTATTTTGTTAGTTTAACATCATGTATTTGTACTAGTGAAGCCTGTACTCAATATATAAGCAGCTTGAAATTGGCTTTACCAATCTCAACATTTGACCACAAGCGTCTTTTATATATGCAGATCTAATATAAAACCCAGAACTTGGACTGCATAGTTAAAATTATTTATGCGTAACATTCAAATGAGTGCGTTAAATATGCTTCCACAGTAGAGTTTGAAAAACTACTATCTGATTTGTGATTGAAAGCTGCCTTTCTATTTACTTGAGTCTATTTCATGCAAACTTTTTTATGAGCTATGAAATAAAACATTTTAAAATTAAAAAAAAAAAAAAGTTTTCCAGGGGTAAGATGAAGACCAAAGTGAGACAGCCAGGGAGGGTCAGGGACAGTGAAAGGACTAGAAATAAAAACTCAGCCCTCATTCCGTTGTCAAGGCTATCTCAGTGGCAAACAAGCCTGAACCATCAGAAAATGGGATTGTACATTCTCTGGGTGTCACTTTTCTTCAGATACTTCTGGAACTTGATTTACCTGTTCCCAAATGTCCCTGGCCCTCCCCTTCTACAGCAAATTGATAAACTGGCATCCAAATGTGTTTCCTTAAAGCAAGCTCTAACCAAGAGGAGAGTATGATGTTCTTCTCTCAAGGATCAGAAATCTTCAGACAGGTCTCCTATGCGCCACAAAGTAGTTTTAACCTTCAGAAGTATCTGCGTCCTTTGGTGTACTTAGAGCAAAGCTACACAGAAAACCATCCTACAGGATTCAAACAGTAGCATACAAGAGCTCAATCATCTCTGAAGAGCTTTCATTTGACAAAAAGGGAAAAGGAAACAAGTCTTTGTTGGTTTCCTTTTTTTTAAGAAACAAAAGGCCATTCAATTCTCTCTTCCTTTTTCCTCTCCATCTTACACTCACAGAATTCTACGTGGCTCGCTGTTATAGAAGACAAAGGTGACTAGCTTCTTTATAATCCACGAAACACTAACATGGAAATCATGCAAATTTTTCTTTATAAAGATTAACCTGTGAAAATGTGGGGGAGCAGCACTTCCCGTGATTTCCGTGGTTTTGGGGGTGGTGTAGGAGTATGGAATTTTTTTCACCTCCACAAATAGAAATGTGGATGGGACAATGACTCACCAATTTCTCACAAGGCGAGTAGAAAATACTACGTCAAATAAGTTGGTTGCTTATTTCCTAATGGATTGATTAGGATAACAAAAACTTCCATACCGGCCAAACCTCTTTAGCAAATACCTTTGCTATTGGAATTGACACGAAAGGCTTAAATGAAGCAAAAGCGAACTCCGTGTCTTTGGGATGCAGGCATGGGTCTGCAGCCAGCTGTGGTATATGCCCTGATTTAACTATGAGTAAAGAGGCTATTTGATTAATCAGTTCCTAGCAGGTTTTATGCATTAAATTTACTTTTACAAAATCCAGAAGTTATTCTTATCTGTATCTCTCAGTTTGACTGATTAATTATCTATGGTTCCCCAGCACATACCATGATCACAGTAATGTTCTTTGGAGATATAATCATCAAAGAGCATCCCTTGGTTAGTGTGGTACATGAGAAGGGCATAAATAATGAAACAGAACAGGGGCCATTAATCCGTTCTGTTTTGTTTTCTGTGCTTGGAGGTTGGTTTACCAGGTAGGGGGTAAAGAGTAGATGGGAAGTGAGGGGGAGGAAAAGAGGAAAGCCTATAGGTCAGAATTTTGCGCGGTTCCTTTCAGCCAGTCCCTCTCCTCGGACCACGCACCCTCAATCCCTGGCAAGTCTTGAAGGCTTAGAAGTTTTCATTGTGGTTTGCCAAGCTTTAAGTATGCACATGACTCTCACTGGGAGCTAAAAATGTATTTCCCTAACACCAGATGATTAGAAGAAATTGCTTGATTATACGACATTTATGGTTCAAACATGAACCTATTGTTTAATGCAGATTTTTAAGCAGTTTTTTAAAAACAGAATATCGAAAGTTTGACAGGTCAGTGCTAATTAAGAATGCAGAAGAGGGGCCAGCCACGGTAGGTGGCTCACACCTGTAATTCCGGCACCTTGGGAGGCCGAGGCAGGTGGATCACTTGAGGCCAAGAGTTCCAGATCAGCTCAGCCAACATGGTGAAACCCCGTCTCTACCAAAAACACAAAAATTAGCCAGGTGTGGTAGCAGACACCTGTGGTCCAGCTATGCTGGAGAATCATTTGAACCCAGGAAGTGGAGGTTGCAGTGAGCCGAGATCACGCCACTACACTCCAGCCTGGGCGGTAGAGCAAGACCCTGTTTCAAAAAAAAAAAAAAAAAAAAAGGAATGCAGAAGAACAGAGGGCAAAAAGTGAAGCTTTCAAATCATATCTCCCCCTGACTTTTGAAGGGGCTGAGGAGCTGCTAACTGAGTAGAGATTAATTGCCAGGGTTCACTCGGTAGACCTCAATTGTGTATCATTCTTCCTAATGTTATGGAATATTTATGTCAAGAAATCCTGATGGTTTGCTCCTCTGTAATAACCCTTTGCCTGTTACCTTTTCCCCCTGTGTTTTTTTGTTTTTGTATAACTAGAATGTTTCTATTGTATAGACATTTTAGAACAAAATTGGGGTTGACCAGCTTATTGAATACAAATCTCCTTTTCTCAAATGTAGCAGTCAAGAGCTGTGGGGTGGCAGGTTTTCTTACCACATACTAATGAGGGCAGCTGGGTGAGTGCCCTCAGGCAGAACTAAACTTTGCACGCGCTACTTCTCACATCTCCCTGTGGGTAATTAAGTGGTGTGGTGCTCCAGCCTGCTAAGGAAATGTCAGCCCTTGCCTGGGCTGATTTTTTTCCAGTGGAGGAAAGCAAAGCACAATAGATCTTAACCAAATAATGTAAATACAGAAGGTTTGAGAGAAGCACGTTTTCTAGAATCTCTCATTCAGCTTTCCCAGACAGTTGTAAACCAAAATATTCACTAGCAGTATGACTCTAACAATTTCAAGGAAACAGACATTGGAGTATGGAATGTTTCACTGTTATTTTCCTCTGGCATAATCGTGAATTTAAACGATTGGCCCATTTCTCTGGTTGAAGGAAATCATTCTTTCAACCTTCTAAGAAGACGAGTTCTATGGAATTTAATCACTTTTGCTTTATAATTTTTAACAAAAGAATCCAAATTAAAAAAAAAAAACCAGCAAAGTAGCGAGTGAGGAATGAAGACCTCAAAATCTACAAAATGTAAAATCTACCAGCTTTGTATTTTGACCCTGTCAAACCCATATTTGACAAGCAAAGCAGTGTGGCCTTTTTCCTTCGAGTATAAATTTCACTTCACTGTATCTGCTTAAGTTGTAGCCAGGAGAGATTGGAAGTTTTATAACGTGATTGAAATGTAAAGCTCAGCCAAACAGGAGTAGGAGTAGGTTTTGCTCAATTGTCATTGATTAAGGGGTTCATCTTATCTATCCATCTGGGGTGCCATAGTAGGTGCATGCTCTGGTCCTTTGCACTCTTCGAGGGCACTTACTCTTAACAATGTTTTGAGATTTTTTTGTGGTAGTAGTGGTGGTAGTGATGGTGGTGATGGTGGTGGTGATTCTTGTCATTTGTAATTGGGACTTTATAACTATAGGATTGGTTAAGAGGAATTGAGACTATTAGAGAGAGAGCTGTGTATAGATTAATAGCAGTTAATTTCTTCTGTCTTCCTCTAAATTTCTCTCCAGAATGTGTCTGTCTCCCTTTTTCTCCGAGCTTCTCTCTCTCTATCAGTCTCTGACTCAATTTGTCTGTGACCTCTCTTTCGAGTAGTAGTAAAAACATTTTAGTGTCCTTATAGTTCAGTTAGGAGATAAAGTTCATGGCCAAGTGCTGTCTCTGTCTTGATCCTACGGCCCTTCCCAACTTGGTCCTCCTTGCTCAGTGACTTAGCCCTGGGTCCTTGCAGCCACCCTGCTGAAGCTCACTCCTCTGGCCCCCTGTGCGACCAGTCAGTGCTGTTGTGTTTGCACAGAGACCAGCTGCTAGGTCCACAATTGCAAAACAGTTCCAATCTACAAACTGTTTTCATGAATGTCTTTTGTATGTCTGGAAAACATTAAATGTGATTTCACAGATGAATGATTTTGAAAGTTTTTAACTTTTAATTAGACTATTTTTAATGACTTTTTGTAAATGGATTCCCAGTAAAGCATTTTGTTTTACCTATCTGAAGACATAATGAGCTAAAAAGTTGAGATATTTAGTATCAGGTTTTTGGGTGTTTTTATTTGTTTTTGTTTTGTTTTGTTTTGTTTTGAGACAGAGTCTCGCTTTGTCACCCAGGCTGGAGTGCAGTGGCTTGATCTCGGCTCTCTGCAACCTCTGCCTGCCAGGTTCAAGTGATTCTCCTGCCTCAGCCTCCCAAGCAGCAGGGATTACAGGCACAAGCCACCACGCCTGGCTAATTTTTGTATTTTTAGTAGAAACGGGGTTTGGCCATGGCCAGGCTGGTCTCGAACTCCTGACCTCAAGCCACCATGCCCAGCCAGGTTTTGTTTTTTTTTTTTTTTAATATAAAAGGATAATAGAATGAAAATTTGAAAAACACAAGTATAAATACATATGTATATATGAAAGTGTGTATTCATCTTCAGAATAAAATAATAATAGAAACATTCATAATTCTCCCACCAAGAAAATTGTATTTTACATTGTGTTACATTTGCTTGTAGTCTTTTTTTTCGTTTAATGTAATATATGTACACACATTTGACATTTTACTCTATAAAGCAGTTTGTAAATTACCTCTTCTTTCATTTAAACTTATACTTCTGAGTTGTTAAATGTTCTTTAAAAATATATTAATGGCTGAACAATACTCCATTGTATGGATGTACCACAGTGTACTAAAAATTGTTTACTTTTTTAAAACAATTTTTTAAAAGGGGGGGTTAAAGGAGGATAAAATTCTCTGTGTAAGGCGTAAATCCTTACATACATCTCTGATTACCTTTAGGAAAAAAAACAGAAATGAAATTATTTTGTCAAATGAAAACATTCTGTGATTTAAAATTTTCTATTTTTATAAAATAGATACTTAATATACATATTTGTATATTGGACGTTTACTTTTTGGTATATACCCCACCCAATATGGCATTTAAAAATAAAGCTATCTAGTTTCTACACAGGACTCTTTATAATCAATGACTTTCAGATCAAGTAGTAGCATAAAATTATTATTTTGATCCTAAAGAAAGAAAATTAAGTATTATAAGTTCTATCTTGATAACTACAAAACAGACCCTCTAGCACAGTGCTGTGACACTATAGTCTTCGAGTGAACAAAATTGAAGAGATTTAGAGATAAGAATTACGACCTTCTCTTGTAAATGAGACTCGCAAAGCACAGGAAGAGCTAAATTATTGACTTTTTGCTCTGTAACAACACTAAGAATAGCTAAGACTTGTTGCCTTCTTACTAGTGTCACAATTTGAAGTGCTTTATGGGCATTAAATCATTTAATCCTCATAACAATCCTACGAGGTAGGTTGAATTATTCACCTCATTTTACAAATAAGGAAAGTGAGGCTGAGGGAGGTTAAGTCACTTTCCCAAGTATTTCACCGAGGAGGTGGAATTCCATCCCAGAAAGCCTGGCTGCAAAGCCTGCACTCTCCACCACTGTGCAATGCTGCCCCCTAGTGCAAGTGTGCATACACGCTGCTCAGGTTCCTTCCCTGAGAGGCTGCTCATAAGGAAGAAAAAGGCAGAAATGTGGAATGAAGGGCTGATAACCAAACACACACACACATACACACACACACACGTGTATATACACACACATATCTGCAGGCATATATATAGTTGATATAAATATATGTCTATATTTAACAGTATATGAGTAGCATAAATAAGATTAGTATACTTTAAAATGTTTAAAGAGCTTTTATTTATATTTTCCTATCTGTGAGGAAGGCACAGTGGAGATTATTGAACCCATTTCACAGGTGAAAAAACTGAGGCTCAAAAGGGTTAAAACATCTTGCCCAATGCTCTACTGCTGGGAAAGGCAGTGTGGGGATTAGAAGCCAGATCTTCCAGCTGTTAGTGCAGTGGAGCTTCTGCTCCCCTTATTCCTCCCCAGCAGTACCTCTCCTACATGTCCAAAGGCATGAGCAAAAATGAATGAGAAATGGTACAGACAAGGAAAAAGGGTCTGCCTTCCCATCTGTTTAGATCTAGAATCCAGAAGGAAATGAGAGAACTGCTCTTGGGCGATGACAGTGTAGTGTTAACAGAAAACAGAGAAGGAAGAGCTGCTCAATTCATGTTTTGCTTCCATTCTCTTCAGTAAGAAGGATTAACTTCAAACAGAAAACTCAAGGGAAATAGATGTGGGTAATGTAAATACTACAGGCATAAATCCTTTCAGGAGACATGAGAACTTACAACTGACAGCCTAAGATAACTACAATCACGTGGGGTGGGGGGTTGTTATTCACCCCATTATAATATAAATTATTCCTAATGACACCAGATAAATAGGTGCTGTTAATGAGCTGCACTTGGAAATAAAGATACCACTTACTGACCAGATAACATGAGGCCACAAGTATTGCATTTACACTCAGCCACTCATTGGCCACTTTAGCCTCCCTTGTGGCCAGGGGCAAACATTCGCGAGATGGCTACTTTCAGCCAGAGTTCAATAGGCACGGTGCTATGTACACACTAGGTACTTGGAAAATATTTGTTGAATTAAGCAGAATTGGACTGAACTCTTTGATGAGGTTGTCCATAAGCAGAGATCCCTTGCTCTAAAATACAAACTTCCTATGTGGCCTTAAGAAAAGACCAAAGTCATTCCAAGTGTGTCATGAAACAAAGAGAAACTAAGTAAGAATAGGACACATACAGGAGCGTTTGGAAATCATAAAGTTTGGCTCTTCTCTTAACTCTCTTTATTATTCTGGTGAACTGGAATAATAACTGTGTACAATTACATTTTAATTTATGCTCCAAATGAAAGAGCACTTTTTAAAAAGTAACATTTTAAGTGTCAGAGAAGAGACATATTAAACTATTATTTCTTTCTCAGTGATCATAAAAAAACATGCATTCTGAAGTCAGGACAGTGAGATGCTTAAAAGCCCTACATACAGGGTAATAAATAAGATGAATGAATAATTGAAATTTTGCATTATGTGGCACCAATAGATTAATTTTTACAAGGGAACTTATTTCAAGTAATGATCTTAGGAAGTGATCTCTCATTAGTAGCCATCAGCGCGTGGAGGTGGCCAGCCTTTCCTACATAAAGCAAAGCAGCAAAGTTGAGTTCTCACTGATATGTCTTAAGAAGAGAAACAAGAGTTACAGGTGTAGATGAGTTGCAATGCATGAGTTACAGGTAACTAATATTCACCCTAACAAATCAAGCTGGTCCTAAGGTAGATCCTGCTGGCAGAACATACAAAGCATTTTTCCCCCCATTGCTAACAGTCGTAGAATTTGTGAATTCAAGCAACTCTTAATGAGTTTTAAGGGGACCCTCAGTGCATAATATGGAAAATATGCATCTTCCTTTTCAAATTCTGTAGACATGTAATCCTCCAAACAGGCATAGCCATAAAAATAAAACTAATCTTTAATGGATGTTGATTCAACAACAAAGATATTGCCTCTTTAACTGTCGTATTCGTTGGAGGAGTAAATGTGTTGTATGTGTGTGCGTGCATGTGCATGTATGTACGTGGGTCATGTGTTTCTGAAAACATGAACTGATCTAAGAAGTTCTAGTTATGATTCTCCTCATAAGGCCTTTGGAAGCTGACACCTGCACCAGTTCTGTGTTTCACAAATTAGAAGTTGGTTTCTGCTACTTCCTTTTTTTTAATGTCAGCCCTAATTGTTTGTCTTACTCTGATACCATTCTTAGTGACTTTGAGAGTGTATCATGCCTTTTTATCCATAATGAATGACTATTAGCATCAATTTTTATTACATTCCAAATAACCATCAATTTCTCCTTCAATTACATGTGTAAATGTCATGTGGTTATTTTCTGCCCTGTGGATTAGATAGCAATCAGAACCAGAGTGACTTTAACTTTAACTGACCCACAGAATAAAAGTGGTTCAAATTATAGAGCAAGGAAGGGGGAAAACAGACAGAAACTCACGATGATCATCTGAGCAGTGAAAAAAATAAATACATAAAAGTTGAGTGCAGGAGTGAACCCCAACGACAAAGTTGCCAGATAAAATCTCTGTCTTCCTCAATTCTTGGCTTAGCTTTGGTGCTATGACAACTATCCACATATCAGGGGACTTATGCATAAGTATCCCAGAGTCTGTTTCTGTTGGTTTTGTTCATCTCATGTTCTTTCTACCCTCTGGAAGGCAGGGTGATTAAGGCTCCATGACATTATATTTTTAAATTAGGAGTTTACACATAGGGTATGAACTGTAACGAATTATTTATTGAACACCTACTAGTTCTAGACACTGTGGAAAGCTCTGGGAATACAGCAAACAAGACAGCTGGGATTCTTACTTTATGGGGCTTTCAGTATAATGGAGAAGAAAGACATTAAACAAATAATTACAAATGTTCAATGCTGTAAAGGAGAAGCCCAGGATGCTGTGGAAATATAAAACGCAAGATCTAACCAAGTGTGTGTAAATGTGTGTACACGGGACTGGGGAAAGGGAGTGTGCAGAAGGCTTCCCTGAGGCACTGCTGCTTAAGCAGAAAACTGAAGGGCGGAGCAGAGTTGTCAGTACTGCAGTGCTGGTGCTTAGTTCTCAAATCTGGGAGGTACCGTGCACTTAGACCATGATGTCAATATGTGGCTCACCCCTGCAGTTGCAGGGCTCGCTTCGCACAACCATCCCCAGGTGTCTCTGAGCAGGAGTGGGAGTTGGCTAGCTGATTAGCAGAATTAGATGGGGAGAAAAATATTGCAGAAAGAAAGCCATTATGTCTTTGAAGTAGCACAGAAAAATGTGTTATAATAGAAGTAGAGCGTGTCTGGGAAAGAAAGTGGGGTCCCACCGGCTGGGTTTTATACACATCATTACAGATGTGTCATTTTATCCTGAAAGAAATGGAAAGCCACGTGTATGAAATGCATCAAAAACATTACCCCTAAAGAAGATCTAAATGGAGGAGGGCAAAATTGGGCTTTAGGACTAAGATGTAGACTTTTATCACAGTTACAATGAGAATTTTTGCTTCCAGGATTAGGACCCTGCCAGATTTAGGAAGCAGGATGTACAGTAGTTGGGTGCGGGAGGTAAAAAATAAGGAGGGGTTGAGAATGACATTGAGATTCCTGGCTTGAAGGTGATTCATCATGCCATCTCCTGAAATAAGGCATAACTGGGGTCCATTTTTAACATGGTGAGTTTTAGGTGCCAAAGAGCCATACAAATGGAAAATGTTCAATAGCAAATGGCGTTTCGTTCTGGAGGGAACAGGTTCTGGTTGGAGTTATAAATTTTGGAACAAAACACCCTATTTGAGTATATCTTATACTTGTATCAAGTCTTTCTGAGTGTGCCCCTATTTTAAAAAGTAAAGGAATTAGAAATCAGTCCTGTTAAATATTTCAGAGCTTTATGAAACCACCAAAGAGGAGAGGACATTTCTATTTTATATCCTAGTAGCTTTTATTTTACAAGAATGACCATAAATGGCTATATAGTTTTTTGAGTACTACAATATTTAACCTAACTCTTATGATATTGTTTGTTTCATTTATAGAATAACATTTATTTTCAGCATCTTATTATGCATTCTGAGAATTCTGTATATAAAACCCTTTTTGATGATTTTCTTAAAATTGTTTTTAGGTATTAAAAGGATTTGTTTAAGACTGTGAAATGTTTTCAAAATTCTCTCTATAACCCCTTTATAAACGTAAACTACTAACAGCATTTTACAAACGTGAAGACATGGCTTTTCTACCCGGGGTTTTGGGGAAAGCACTGAGACTAGCGGTAATCTTTCCTAATAAAGTCTCTTTGCTCCTGGAGAACTCAATTATTAGGGCAGGACCGGGAGGGGAAGAAGCAAGGATCCAGCTACTCAAAGCCTGCTCTGGTGTCTATAGTGAGGAAATAAATGTAACCCTTATGGTTTAGCCCAGCATACTGGGTCAAAAAGAAGGGGCATTGCAAGCCAGAAGCCCTGCTCAGAACTGAAGAATTTACAGGCCACTGACCTATTGTGTCACAGTACCGCCACCATCATCACTTTTAATACAAAAGAGTTCACTCATTCATGCACAAATGCTTCTCCTGGGTGCAGTGGATGATCAGTCACCCTCTGGGGAAGAAGAGGTGGACAGAAGGTCAACATTCACCTTTATGTTCTCAACAACAACATGTGTTTCCATACCTTCTCTTGGTCCCTTAAGGATGGATTGGTTTTCTAGGTAATAGGCCCCTTAGAAGGGAAAAAGAAGCCCCCAACACCCGTTATTGGGCATACGATCTTCCACTGGGGTCTCCTTCCCTCTCCATACCCTCTTTTCTTCTCCAAAGAATCCCTCAACACTAGGCACGAGACAGATGTAAGCTACTGCCAAATCCAAAATACATTTTTAAACTATTTTCAGAGCCATTTTATTGCATGCCTATACCCCTGCCTTTAAATTAAAAAAAAAAAAAACTTTCATTAGTTTTCTGACGTAGACCTTCTTTCAGATCCAGTCTTTCTCACTTCCACCTCCTTTCCAAACTCTGTCTTATTGGATCCATTGGCATAAACTCCCATCTTGGGTTCCCCATTATCACTGACAACTTTAACCAGTGCTATTATCATTTATAGAGATAAAACCCTCTATTAAAATCTAAAACATAACCCACACCTCTGGAACACAATTAATGCAATTGGATCTCAGTGAATCTAGTGAATACTCCAAGTCATTCTGAGATTCACACAAAGACTAGGGAGAACTAAGTGGTTAATTGTAACTTGAAAACAAAATTATAGACACAAAACAGACTTATAAAAGAACTGCATTCAAGGCCGGGTGCAGTGGCTCATGCCTGTAATCCCAGCACTTTGGGAAGCCGAGGTGGGTGGATCACAAGGTCAGGATCACACCATTGCACTCCAGCCTGGGCAACAGAGCAAGACTGAGACTCCACCTCAAAAAAAAAAAAAAAACAATTGCATTCAGGATGTTTGGAGTTATAAGGAAGATTTTTCTAAATTGGTATAGAACATAAACAAGGAGAGTTTGACTTGTCCAAAGTGGTCAAATACATTTACCAGCCAATTTCTAAGCACAGTGATGAAGGCAGCATTTTAAACTAAGACATTTTAGTTCCTTTGGTGGTCATGTTGTCTTTACAGTGGATGGAGACTTTCCCTGAGGTCTTCCCCCCCCCCACAGAAAAATACCTTTGTTTCCCTGCCTTCGTACCTTTAGCTTGGCTGTTCCTGAATGTGCTTTCCTGTGATGCCTGCTATGAGTAATGTCTGCTATGACTGGTCTGAGCCTAGGTGTTGATTTCTCAGGAAAACTTTCCGGACTGCCCAGAGAAGGAAAGATTTCTTGAGCTGTGTTCCCAGAGTACCTGGCAATGCTCCTTCATGGCATTTACCACACAGTTTATTTCAGGGCAGAAACCCCGCTGGAGTCAGTAAAGAACCCCCTCCACCCGCCGTTCACTGTTTCTCCACCTGGCCCTGTTGCATCTTCCTCTCCAGGCTGTGAATGATATCTTAGGCAGGTCCCATAGCTTTTCAGGCACTCAAACTCAGAACAGTCCTTGTAACTTCCGATTTTATATCTGATTCAAAACTTCCCTCCTCTCTTCTCCAGGCTCCAGCTCTTCTGGAGGCTGTGGCCAGAAAGGAGGGTGAGCCTTTCTTTCTGCACAGCCATAGCTCTAGCACCCTGCTTGCTGGTAATTTCAGCCTCCCTGGCTAACCCTATGCAGCGGTTCATGTCTTTTGGGTAACATGACTTCAAACGCAGTGTTCTCATGGAGTCTGTGTGTGGATGTCTTAAGTAGCCAAAAAGAGTCTCCGGATGTCACAGTCCCGGGATGTCCCCACTCTGGCTGCACCACTCAACAGTCGGGGCTGGGCAGTGGTTCATCTGCAGCCTCTTGCCGCTGAGGCTTCCCGACCCACCAGGTGACCTTCCTGGGAGTAGGGATTGGTGATGTTCAGTATCAACTAAGATTGCTGTGTCCATGTCACTTGTTGGAAACTTATGTATCCTTCCCATATCACCAAATATTGGTCATGCAGCCTGCTCCACTCCCACCACACCTCAATTCTCTTGTCCCAGTTGAGATAGGCCTAAAGGCCAATCAGCATCATGGTGTCTCCTAGGCTCTTGCAATAGCCTTCTAACTGAGCTGCCATTGCCATCTTTGGCCCCTACAGTCTCTCCTTAATAAACAGGGTAATCCTGTGATAATGGAAGATAGGTCACATCACCTCTCTGCTCAAAACCCTTAAATGGCTGCTCCCCATCTCACTCCAGGTAAAAGGTAGATTCTTTATAATGGCTTACAAAGCCAAATGATTCAGCCTCAGCCTTTCTTCAAGCTAGCCTGCCCTTACTTTGCCCTCACCACTTTGACCTTCTCAGTGCTCTTCAAGCACACCAGGCAAGCTCTTGCCTCGGAGACCATGGACTTCCTATTTCTTCCATCTGCCAAGATGCTCCCTGGTACCCTTGCTCAGCTCAGCCCCTACTTCCTTAGATGTCATTCAAAGATCACCCAGATAAGTCTTCTCCAACCACAGCTCCTCATTAAGCCCCTGGGGAGGGAGAAGTCTGTTTCTAATTTTTGGCTGCTTCTGAATGCTTCTCATTTTGAAAATGAGAGGTATTTTCTCCTATAGTCCTCAACTTTGGATTTTAGCCACATTTCCCTAATAAAAAAAATTCCACTCAATATCTTATTACCAATTGGTAATACTTGCAGTATGCCTTCTCCCCGCACCTGTATATTTTATGAAACGTAAAAGCCAAAAACCATCTCCGACTTGTTTGCTACTGAATCCCATATGCTTAGCACAACTTCTGGTGAATAATAGGTGCTCAGTAAATGCAATCTTAGGGTCCCACCTATTTAACATTAGTGTCTTTCCATTTCTACTAATTAGATGCCCATTTTTCCACATTTGGAAGTCACTGCTGCCTTTTGAATGGCCTCTTCACTTTGTGTTCCCGCATGAGGAGTAATTGCAATGTTCGGCCATTATGCAGGTCAGGAATAATTCAGATATCCTGAGCAAGCTGCTCCCTTACTGCTCATCTGAAGTGACAAATCCTGCCCCAGCTCTGAGATGACGTCACTGCAGTGTCTCCAAGAGAGGAGCATTCTAGAATTTCATCACTGTGGATTCACATGTTCAAATATACACACATATATGTTAGAGTTGGAGATATTGTCATATCAAATATAAAAAGGCACTGTATCCTATGGCTCCTTGCCATCTGGGACACAGGCAATCTGATAAGGAACTGTTACAGTAGAAATAAATCCTCATCTTTCCAATGAGGAAGTGGTCAATTTCTTTATTTCTACCACGTCATTAGTTCTTTAGACACATGCACCATTGAATAATTTGATTCTTCTAGGACATTTCATAGCATTAGGAGTTAATACATCTTTAAAATAGCTTTCATTATTCTGTACTACTGGTGGGCTCTAGTGTGCAGAATTATTCAATAAAGCATAGCTTTGCATGGTAGGCACCTGGAATTTTTTCCCTTGGCTTTAAAAAGGCAGTGTTTCCTGAAAGTGTAGTATTAATTTGCAATGAGAAATATGGAATGAGGAAATAGGAAGGGACCCTGGTGAACTCTGCTCAGTGATACAGATTGCCTCATAAAACCTTAATCAGAGCTTCATCAGCTTATTAACTTCACCTAGGTCAACTGGTAATGATAAAGTAAGACTTCCCTTTAACGAGTAAAGAGAACTTTTTTTAAAGGTAATAAAACTTTATATGTTTATATTTGTCTTTCCTAAGTGAGTTCAAAGTACTTTATAAACCTCACCCTCCTTTAAAAAAAAAGAAAAATGACCTTTTCCGAAATACTGAGGCAGACTAAGGTTGGGCTTTGATTAAGAAAGGGAGTCTACACCTTTGACATCACTTTCAAGTTTCCTGACTCCTAGTTCAATGGTCAAGACAGAATTTTATATTGCCATTATGACTGCAATTTACCCTGGGAATATGGCCAAGTATTTTCTGAAAAGAGCTTCTACATGAGACATTTTCCTACCACATACACACTGTAATTTACAAATGCCAGCGAGGCTAGCAGGGACGAAATTAACCGAGCATCTGGGTCCTTGTAAAAACCATGAGCAAGTCAGTAAACCTCACCAATTCAAACTCATTGAAATAAGGGTTAGTCTGAGTTAATAAAAAGGCTGAATTAAAAGATCTTATAATTGTGTTATTACTTTATAGTGTATCTAGAGAAAAGAGCAAAGAAAAAAGCTAACAGTCACTAGACATATTATATTCCAAGTACTATGTTGGCAGCTCTTCCTACAATACTTAGTAACATACAACCTCCAGGTGATAAAGATGGCATTAACTTGATTTTACAGTTTAAGAAACAAAGAACCAGATAAGCTAAGCAATTCCTCAAGGTCACGCAACTAACAAGAGACGGTGGCTAAGAAAATCTGCTTTCCACCACTACTTACCACAGCCTCCCTAGTTAAGGTAACACAACAACTAAATTTAACTAAAGCTGCCAAGACAAAATCCTGTCTTTGTCTGCATTAATTTACCAACAGTAACACATTCATAACTGGTTTTTACACACAAATGCTTAATGTAAAACTGCTTGAAATATGCTTTTCTTTGGGAATGTGAAATGTACCCTTCATACGTTAGGGGGAATGGGAAGGCTTGGCATAGGAGAAGGCTTATTGATATATTTGGTGAATTTTTTTGTTTCAGTCCAAGCTGTGTCATAATTAGTAAAATCAAAATTTATTGGCACAATATTTTCAATTATAATTGCTAAACCTTCAAGAAATGGGCAAAGATACAATGGAGAAGTATTTCCAATATTAATAAAAATAATATTTCAAATGTTAAAAATGCACTTTTAATCGGTTTTCTAACCATGTTTATTGATCAATACACAGATTACATTGGTCAGCTCTCACAATACGATCGGTACTTGGCTTGTAGCAAGCATGGCCAGAATAAGCTGAAATCCTTCATTCTTTTACTCACTTATTCATTTATTTAATTAAACATTCATCTAGTCAAAAATGTCTTTATTAAGTGCCTCATAGGCACTTGTAAGCAATAGTAAACGCTCGGAACATAAAAGCAAATGCAATGAATACTGGAGTACTCTATGAAGAGGATGGGATGGGGAGGGGGGCGTGGTGGTTAATGGAAAGAAGAAACAATCTCAGTGCCATGTGGGAAGCAGAGTAGGGGTGGGGTGGGGGAACATCAGGGAACTATGGGAAGCATGTCCAGAACACCTATGAGACTTTGTTCCATAGAACACCTATGAGACTATGGGGCAGGTGTCCAGAACTCCAGGAAGAAGTGACACCTGAGCTGTGACCAGCACACGGAGTATGCCTGTAGAAATCTAAGCACAAGGTAATAAAAAATGCACTCAAGAACTGCACTGTGGCTGTTTCAGTGAAGTGTTCGTTTTCTTCTTCCTTTTCAGAGAGTAGAATTCAGAGTACCTTTTCTTACCATTTGCCTTCTTGATTCTTGACCTTGAATAATTACTTCTTTCTTTGTTCTAAATAAATCCTGAATGAACACAATAACAGGTGTAATCCAATTGGTTTAGTTGTTTAATTATGAAGATTACACCAAACCAACTGGCTTTTTAATTCTGTTGGGGAAAAAGTAAGTAGTAACTAAAATGCTTAATGTTTGACTTATGCAGAGGGTACAAATCTTTTATATTGTCCCATATATAGGCTAAAATCCAACACTTATCGTTCCCTTTGTATTTTTCACACTCATCCAGTAATCCTGGCAGACTACGTTCAATGTTCATGACTTGCTCACCACTGAATCCTCAGTAATATATTGTCAAATAATTTTTCTTCAGCATTGGAAGAACCAACCAACCAGGGAAAACTAAAAAGGAGGGAACGTGTTAATGGAGTTGAATGAGCCTATATAATAGAAATAAAGTTGTAATTACCCAAAGGTTCTTCAACTTTTTCTAAATTACTAAAAATTATTACAATGTTTAAAATTAAATTTACTTGATATGGTTAAAATATGAAACATTGCCAATATTATTTAAAGCAAATAGATGATTGCAGAATATAAATCATGCATTCTCAAAAGTAATTTTGAAAAATAAAGTCTCATTTTATAAATAGCAACAAACCAAAGCAAAAACATAACACTGTCTCTTCATAATGAGATGAGTGTTTTCCATTCCAGTAAAACTTAATACGTTTATTCCTCTAAAAATCCATGTTAGTGACATTAAGCATTTTTGTTGTCATTATTCATTTGAAGTGTAAAAATGAGTAAGGAAATTGTTAAAGAAAGAAAGAAATGACAATGTCCTAGATCTTAGAAGTAGGCAAATAATTGATATGTTGGATTAATGCAGATGGACATTAAATGGTCCAAAAGATAAATTAACTCTTATGTCACTAATTTTTCTTTCCATAATCCTAGATTTTTATATCAAAAATGAACATGAGTTAGTTGCTATAGAATATATGATGAAATTATTCCTACTTCTATAGCTGACCTATAAAAATGTTGATGACATTTAAATGATAGTTCATGGTAGATTTTTATTTACAAGTACAACTATTTGGGCATATTACAAATTATCCATCAAAATTCCTCCTTGAAATACCAAGCCCTCAGGTCTTGGTTTCTAATATCATTTTCCAATAAAAGGAACCAAAGCTCCTGGGAGAAATGACTGCTTCTAGGGCTGGAGTGGGGAACATACAAAATGAATCTGGAGCATCCTAGTGGTGCCAGAAACTAAGAAGTGCCAAAGACAGAATAGACGCCATGATGAGAAGAATACAAAGACAGAACAGACGCCATGATGAGAAGACCTCAAGGGCCTATTACAGGAGCCAACTGAAAGGGTCCCCAGAGGCCAAAGCTGAAGCAATTGGAGCAACGAATTAAAGTAGTAAAATAAAGAACTGTTGGATTATAATCCGAATAACAAAAATAACGGGCCACAAGTACTGATATAAGCACATAATTCAATAAATAAATAATAAATAGATGGGGGAGAAACGACAAACCCCTGGTGGTAGAAAATTCTAAATGATTTATATAGTTGCTCCACCATTACAGAGATCAAGCACATGCCCCACTCCTTAAGTGCGGCTGTGAATAGTGACTTTCTTCCAAAGAGTACAGAGCGGACAGGGAGAGAAAAAGAGCAACTCTGCGGTGGGGGACCTCAACAAACACAGCGTCCAGCAGGCCATGCAAGCTGACACCAACAACATGTCATGTTGGTAGCACATGCCCTTTCTATATCATGAAAAGATCACTTTAGCCCTGTGGTCTTCCTCCCAGACACACATTATCCCAGTCTAGTCATGAGGAAAACATTAGCTGAATCCCCATAGTGAGACATTCTACAACATATCTGACCAGCGCTCCTCAAACCTGCCAAGGTCATCAAAAACAAAGACTCAAACTGTCACAGGCAAGAGAAGCTCAGGGGACGTGATGCCTAAATGCAATGTGGTACCCATCATGGGATCCTGGGACAGATAAGGGCCATTAAGAAATACAGAGGAAATCTGAATAAAGTATGGCCTTAAATTAATAGAAATATTTCCCTATTGGCTCATTAATAGTAATGAAATTACTATACTAACGAGGGGAAGCTGAATGTGGGAATATGGGAACTACATGTGCAATAACTCTGTAAATCTGAAAGTGTTATTTTAAATGTTTGTTTAGAAAAGTTCCTGTCTGAGAATGCTTATAAGTGAGAAATCCATTTAAAGTATATGCATTGAAAGTTCAGGCCGGGCACAGTGGCTCATGCCTGTAATCCCAACATTTTGGGAGGCTGAGGCTGGAGGACTGCTTGAGCTCAGGGGCTGGAGACCAGCCTGGGCAATATAATGAGATTCTCTCTCTACAAAAAATAAAAATTAAAATATAAAAAGCCAGGCATGGTGGCATGCACTTGTATTCCTGGGTATGTGGGAGGCTGAGGTGGGAGGACTGCTTGAGCCTAGGAAGGTTGAGGCTGAAGTGAGCCATGATCACTCCCACTGCCCTCCAGCCTAGGTGACAGAGCGAGATCCTGTCTCTTAAAAAAAATTAAAAAGTTCAAAATCTAGAACAATTGAGCAGCTACTCAAAATTCACTAAACACTCAAGAAAGTCGTTCTTGAGTTTCTGTTTCCTACTGACTGATTTAGATGAGTCATGGAACTCTCTCCCTTTGTGTATGGTTTGGCAATTCCAACCCCTCTGTTAAGAACACTTAACAGTAATAATCCCACTGCATCCTATTGCAGAGAAGTTGCTACAGCACAAGAGAGAAAGAACAAATTGTAAGATGCCAAGGATGGCCCTCCCACAACTGGCCTATTTGTGGTATCCTTAACTACGCTCTTTCCAGGAACCTCACTGATATCTCCAGGGATGTCTCATCAGAACACAGCTCCTCCAAAATACTCAGAACCTCAGCTTCCTCTGCCATTCAACATAGTTCCTTTAAGGATTTCTTTTGCTGAAGATAATTTTACTCTAAGAAAGAATTTAGACCTCCAGTTCTGGGTCACAGTCTACATCTGCTAATTATTCCCTATGTGCCTCAATTTCAGATGGACCATTTGCCTGCATACAGAAATTGGAAGTTGTGTCAAAAGGTGGGTGCTCATGGAAAGATGCCACCTTATAAGAATTTATTCGACAAGCGTTAGCTGAGTATCAACGACATGGCAGGTATTCTTCTTAGGGAAGAAGTCTTATGAACCCCTCCCTCCTAGAGCTTAAATTTTAGCATGGAAAGACAAATTATAATCATGTAAAGGAACAAGATATTTCATGCTATGACGGATGCTATGGAGGAAATAAAGTAGAAAGTGTCTTCTGAATGGGCACTTAAAAGATGAGAATAACGTATTCAAAGAACAAGGTGAAGAGCATTTTAGGTACAGGGAAAAACGTGACCCAGAAGTGGGGACTCCGTTGATCTGGAGAGCAGCGAGCCAGACAGATAATTGTCTGAGGCAAGTTTGCAGAAACAGCATCTAAATCCTGTATGGGGCGTCTCCAGCCATGATAGAAAGTTTGGGTCTTATTCTAGGAGCAGTGGGAAGCCATTAAAGGTTTTGAGTAGCAGATTTGATTTCTGTTTATGAAGGAATAATGGCAACTCTGTGAAGAATGAATTGTAGGAGAAGTAAGGTTACCTGTTAATATTGCAGTTGCTCTGAAAAGAGATATGGGTAGCTTAGATTAGGCAAATAGAAGTGGGGATGGAGAGAAGCACATGTATTTAAAACTAACGCGATTGTAGATGGATTGGATGAGGTATGTTATAGAATGAAGGATAACTTCTAGGTTTTCATTTCATATGAAAAAATTTAGATTAACTGGCTCTGCCTAGATTAGATGACTTAGTCCAATAACAGCAGAAGAATTCATTCATTTAAGAGCGCATTCAAGGACTCCAGCCTTTGATGTCCAACTAAAAGTATATTCTCTTTTCATAGTGAATTTCAAATATCTCCGCATGTTAGAGTTGGGGTGAGACTATCCTGAGTTTTGTATTGTCCGTGATCCAAAAAAACCAAAGTCCTTTCCCAATCATTGAAGCCCATCAAGGGTTCCCCCATCCCCTACATTACTTACCCATCGTATTATTTCCTCTTCAGACCATATATCTTGCTTGGTCCATCTCTTTCTCTGTCTATTCCAGCCAACTCTCAACTAACTAACTCAAATCCATTTGAGCAAGGATGAATGCAAACTTCAGAAAATCTACTGTGAAATTTGAGCAAGGCAACTACAAAATTTAATATACATGGAAAGACAGAACCCCTAAAATTTTTCCCAGATTCTGTCTTATAAAATGTATTCCCACTCTCTCTTCTCTCTCTCCACATTTTGTCCAGAAATTCCTTCAAACGTGTGTACTCAAAGCCGGGCCTTCGTCCAGCTTGAGACTGGGGATCTTTGGTCACCAGAATTACAGAGCTTTCTAGGTAGGACTGGAGCTCTTAGAATACACAAAGGATAAAATGTAAGGGGAGGGGAGGGGAAGAGGAGGAGGAGGAGTAGGAGGAGAAGATACAGAAGGAGGTGGCAGATGAACAAAAATACCTTAAGATATGGATTTAAGAATTGTCTGAGCAACTTTTTGTTCAAGGTACTATGAAAGGCATTGATTTCTCAGTCCAAAGCTCTGACTTAATTTCTGAAGGTATTTTTTCCGCGTGATGACCAACTCTCTCAGCTTGTCTTGCACCGTGCTTTTCTGACTTTGACAATATTAATCCACAACCTGCCTTTTCCCAGCTAAATTCTACTGCCAGCCACCTGCTGGCCTACTGCCAGGTCTTATAAATCCAACACTTAGGTGAGTATCAATTATAAAACAGGCCCTGGCACCTCCATTCTTCAACCTGGCTCCCTGGAGAAATTATTTTGTAAGGTAGTTTTTAGTGTTTCGTATTAGGCTGATGAAGCCCAAGGGCCACTGCTAGCCACATTTTGTTGATTATAACTACATACGTTCCTTCTTAACTAAAGTCATATCAACAAATAAATGAGCAACATGGTACTTTAAAATACTTCCCATAATTATATGTTGTTTGAATAATAAAGAAAAAAATATAATTTTCTCTTCCTGAAATTCAAATTTCAGGATGTCATGAAAGCCCATGGGTCCATTCGCTGAACTGAATATTTACACAGTTTTTAAACATGTGGTGAGAACAGAAATGAAGAAAGAGAATAATCAATGAGATGATTTAATTTTTAAAAATAGATTGAGAAGATTAGTTCATTATTGCCTTTCGTTCTAATTCCGTTACCCCAGAATGCCAAATAATACTTCAAGAATTGACTGCAAATAACCAATGGTGGCAAGTCATTTCTTAACATCATATCAAGGTAAAAATGATATAGGATATCTATTCTATAATAATAAATTTCTAACTATAAATAAACTCTTGCAAGAGTGTTTCATATTGTGTCTTTTAAAAATAAACGAATTTCTGATCCATTGCTAACTAGTTAAGCTAAAATGGCTTTTACTTAATATTTTAAAATACGGTCTTTTGCATTCAAATACTTCAAAGCGATTTCTTTCCTTCAGGATTAAAAAAAAAAAAAAAAAAAAAAAAAAAACTATAACTCGTATGGAACCAAGTCTCAATTACCCACATTTGAAAAACTCACATTGGCAATTCTTCATGGAAGCATTTAATTCCAGTCTCACCTACCCCTGCCGCCCACTTCTGGGCTGCCCCCTGCCGCTGTCAGTTGGCATGCATTCAAGGAATACAAACATATTTTAATATTAGTTCTAGCAACGCATTAGCAAGAAGGGAAACCTCCCAGGGGAAATTCACATAATGTATTCTAAAGTCAAATATCAAGTGATTTTGGATTATCGGTGCCACCATAGGATTCCATTCAGACAGATAATTGAGAATTGACTATACTACAGTGTTCATAAACTATGGACCACATGTAGTCCATGAGAAAAAATGATTTCTAAGACACAAATTAAAATAAGGAAGCCAGACAGTGCTGTGAAAAACAGTGGGTCTTCATAGAGAGGGAATTAGAGCTGACAAATGTTTTTGCTTTTTCTTCCTGCATGAGAATATGAAGTTTTAAATGATATGCAGCTAGAAGCAGATGAAATTATAGCTCTCAGACACTTTATAATTCTGAAACAGATATTTGATTGATTGCAAGGTGGCATCGCTGCTGGCAGTTTTTTGTCGGCACATTTTGATGATAGTTTCTTAGGTGAACTTCAAGTACATCAGTGACACACACTCCGTTTCAGATACATTGAATGATTTTGAAGCTAATAATTTATGAGAGCTTTTGGAGCAAGTTATTAGGTTTGAGTCAAGAGAGATTTATTTTGTTTAATCCTAGGTTCCTTGTTGTGTGTTCTGTTTATCTCATCTGATTTTGCTAGTAAACAAATATGTAAAACTTTAATGTGGATTTTTTCCCCTTTATAACAAACAGTGCCTCTGCCTAATGAAGTGTCCCATTTGAAACACTTTTACTAGTCCGTGGTTTGTAGCCATTTTGTTTCTTGAGTAAGAGGACAGATAAAACAAGGCACCTCAAGTTGGGGTTCCATCAAGAAGTAACGGAAAGAAAAATTAAAAATTATTTGTCCTTAATTAGGAGATTAAAGGATCACCTACCCCAGAATTTATTACTTCTAGGTATTTTTATTTTAAGTTAAGGATAATAGTCGATTTTAGAAAATGAAGTGCTCTTCTGAGGCTTTTAGAGGCTTTAAGTGACAAATCAAGAGGAAATTGAAGTGTATTATGAGACAAGGTCTAAATTCAATCTTTTAAAAAGAGTCCTTTGGGTTACGTTTTATTTTCAGAACCTGATGAATGCTGCATATACCAAATATGTTTAAAATTAAAGATATTTTTAATTATTTTTACATTACAGCAGAATAACAATGGAAAGAAATTCAGCATGTGTAAATCTATTTTATGCAAATAGTCCTAGATCATTTCTACTCGTATTTTCTTAATGACATACTTTGATTTGAAGAAAGAAATATATGTTTTCATGCTATTTTTCACGTGTCTGCAGCCATTCTTTTTGCATAAAGAAGATCCACTGAGAAGCACCATTATTCTGCAGAAAAAGTGCACATATATGCAAGGAGTAAATATAATGATGGGATAGTTCTCTTCACCATGTCTTGGAAACATACAGAGGAAGCTTTCACACACGGCCTGTTATTGCCACGGTTTCCCTATCTGACATTTTCTCTCTGGTGGCCACTGCAAAGGTCTTGCGTTCTTATGCATTGAGTGCAAATCTATTTTTTTAGACCATGATAGTGTGCGTGTGAGTGGCCTCTAGAGGCTTGTCAACTCAGATAGCCCCTTTCAGGCCAGCTCCTACTTCTCCCTTCGTATAGCTTCATTTAGCTGTCGCAGCTTCTTTTTCCTTCTTCATGGCCATTGATTAGTCCAAAATCTATTATATTGTCTGAGAAACTCGTGCTCACAGTACAACTGCACACCATCATTAAAAATTAGCATTCTTCTGATTAATTTACCATTAAACACATTTATTATCACGTTGGTTATTTTAGTAAAAAGCTATTCTACAGAAATGGCACCTGAGGCTGAGCGCGGTGGCTCACGCCTGTAATCCCAGCACTTTGGGAGGCCGAGGCGGCTGGATCACGAGGTCAGGAGATCGAGACCATCCTGGCTAACACGGTGAAACCCCGTCTCTACTAAAAATACAAAAATTAGCCGGGCGTGGTGGCGGACGCCTGTAGTCCCAGCTACTCGGGAGGCTGAGGCAGGAGAATGGCGTGAACCCGGGAGGCAGAGCTTGCAGCGAGCCGAGATCGCGCCACTGCACTCCAGCCTGGGCGACAGAGCGAGACTCCGTCTCAGAAAAAAAAAAAAAAGAAGAAGAAGAAGAAATGGCACCTGAGTCATGTGTAGATCTTTATAGACTGAAGTTAGATACTGCACAGTTGTTTTTCCCCATGTCTCCAACCTACCTTCCAGTAGAGCTTCTTTTTTTGTTTTTTTGTTTTTGTTTGTTGTGTGTATTGGGGATTTTTGTTTGTTTGTGTATTGGGGAAGGGATGCTTATTCCTGCTGCTCTTGCTACTTCACATTTCATTTTTCCTAAATATTATTTGACCCATCCAGATTCAAAACCTTAATCATCTGCCAGTAAGCCCTGCCCATGTGCACAAATGATCCTACCCCCATTTTTTAGCACTTTATTCTTAAATGTAATGAGTTAGTTGAGAATTCTAAAACATTGGAGAAAAGCCTCTTCATGTGAAAGGCAGAAAAGCAGAACAAAATGAGGAAGTAAAATAAAATCAGAGAAAAGAGAAAAAGTACAGAAAGCAGAATACTTCAAAGTAACCATAATTAATATCTTCAGAAACATAAAATATGACATTTTATATAGAGAGAAAGAAATGACTCATACAAATATCCAAAGTTGAAAAAATAGTAGTAGGTTTGGAAGACAAAGTTGAAGAAATCTCACAGAAAATAAAGAAGATGATCAGTAGTAACATAATCTATATTATTTAGAGGATCAATCCAAAATATGTAATATCTAGGATAATCTATGTTATTTAGAGGATCAATCCAAGATATGTAATATCAAACTAATAAAAATTCCAAAAAGTTGAAATAAGGAAATATAAAATCAAAAATTATTTTAAACATGTACAAAAACATGCAAGAATTAAAAAGCATTCACACCAAGTAAAACTGTTGTGGAATTTCTGAACACCAGGAGTAAAGAAATAATCCTAAAAGCCTCTAGAGAGTAAAGATCATTAATATGAAAGACAATTAAACATGAGATTTTCCCACTTAGTACACTGGACACTAAGAAAATGAAACAATGCCTTAGTTATAGTTAACTTTCTTATTCAATATCTTAAAATAATATTTGCTCCAAAGATATCCCAACTTTTTTTTTACCTTGTAATTTCCATTGATATTTATTTATTTTTTCTTTTTTTTATTATACTTTAAGTTTTAGGGTACATGTGCACAATGTGCAGGTTTGTTACATATACATATACATGTGCCATGTTGGTGTGCTGCACCCATTAACTCGTCATTTAACATTACATATATCTCCTAATGCTATCCCTCCCCCGTCCCCCCACCCCACAACAGGCCCTGGTGTGTGATGTTCCCCTTCCTGTGTCTATGTGTTCTCATTGTTCAATTCCCACCTATAAGTGAGAATATGCGGTGTCTGTTTTTTTCTCCTTGCAATAGTTTGCTGAGAATGATAGTTTCCAGCTTCATCCATCTCACACCAGTTAGAACGGCGATCATTAAAAAGTCAGGAAACAACAGGTGCTGGAGAGGATGTGGAGAAATAGGAACATTTTTACACTGTTAGTGGGACTGTAAACTAGTTCAACCATTGTGGAAGTCAGTGTGGCGATCCCTCAGGAATCTGGAACTAGAAATTCCATTTGACCCAGCCATCCCATTACTGGGTATATACCCAAAGGATTATAAATCATGCTGCCATAAAGACACATGCACACGTATGTTTATTGCAGCACTATTCACAATGGCAAAGACTTGGAACCAACCCAAATGTCCATCAGTGATAGACTGGATTAAGAAAATGTGGCACATAAACACCATGGAATACTATGCAGCCATAAAAAAATGATATCCCAACTTTTTAACATTTCTTTCGGTTTTCATCTGATTGAGGGAGTACAGGGTTTAAAATTAACTGAGAGGTGTTCTCAGAAATATAATTTCCACGTGGATTCCTCAGGAAGCTTTTTGATGATGTGCCTCTCCCAAGCAAAAGATTAAACCAAGAAAGAGGGAGATATAGTCAACCCTAGGAGGAAGATAAGAGCCATCTCAGAACATTAATAAACAGACATACCACGTGACAATTTTGAAATGGGAGGAGCAAGGAAACATTTTAAAGTAGAGACGCCATTGGAGCAAGTATGATTTTATTGTCAATGTTCATTGACAAGCTCTTGCTCCAGGGCATTTGTGATATTAAAAGTATGACTGAAAGGGTTTACAGGAGGCAAATATGCAAGTTAATGATAACATTTATTCTAAATCTCCTTCCCTTAGAATCAAGGTAAAAACAGAAGGTAACTGGAGCCCAAAGGAGGATGGGTAATCCTGTCAGCCTGGAAGGCATTCTGGCAGAGTTGACATCTGTGTAATGGGGCGATGGTAACACATTCTTCACAAACATCCATGCTTCCAAAGAGTGGCACTGAGAATGCTGGAACTTCAGCTTACTTGCTGTCCCTGAACATACACATTTCCTTCATCTCCGCCCTCACCCCCTTACCCTATACTCCCACCCCAACCTACTGGCTGCCCCGCCAGAGGTCCCTTTGACTAGGGAGAAACAGTGCCAATGGTAAGTCACCTGGACTGGAAGCCGGAGGCTCAGCTCCAGGGGCACGAACATGAAAGAGACAAGGGACTGCTGGCAATCGCCAGGAGGATGACTCACATCCTCTTTATTCTCCAGCGTAATGACATGAACATGCAATCATGCCATTTTACATCATTGTTATCCTCGGTAGTACTTTTCCCTGCACGCACTGTGCTTCTTTAAATAAGGTTTCTGGTGGGGCTTACCAGTATGGACCAGAGCCTGCATGAAGCCACCAGCCTCTCTCCAACACAGGTCTGTGTTAGGCCAAGCTCTGTGCTCAGCCCTTCCAGGCATGTATGCATATGAATGTGTTTGGTTTTGTGAGCATGTGTATTTTCTTTTCTAAAATGGATCATATGGTATATTCTTTTTAAAATTATTTCATTTTTTCCTGTACCCCAGATTCTTAGGTAATGGCCTGACTTATTCCAGGAAAACACATAATAGGCTCTAAGTGATCCCCATTTCCTCCACTGGATCCCCACGACCCATGCTTTGATTAATCCTGTTCAAAATTTCCCTGTGCTTGGGGTGGGGACAGACTTGCATATTTAATAGTAATCTTATCTTGGTTTCCTCAGCCCATAAAACAAGGAAGCTGGGTTAGATCCTCTATAAATATCTTTTCAGCACTGAATTTCTCTGATTCTGGTACACCTAATACCCAAATGTGATTTTTAAAAACCATACAGTTTTTTTTTCTTTTAACAACTTAAAGATATAATGGGTATAATGTGTCTCGTCAGCATTTCCCATGGTGACAAGAGTGCTCGGGGTTCATTTTACACTTCTGATTTTCCAATAAAGTGTTAGATAACACTTCCAATTGACTAAAAAATGTGGTAACCTAAACAAAAGAGTAACAGTGTATGGGAGACAGTATGTTTTCACTGAAGTCACAAAATGTCTTTTCATAAAGTCCACAGAAGGGACTACAGTAATGTTCATGAGAAACAGATTTTTTTCCCCAGTATGAGATTTGGATTATAACATGAATTCCCTGGAATCAAATTATTTTCTTTTCAGGAATCTAAATTTCAGTTTACGAAGATTCTCTACTTTGATCATAGCCAATGACTAGTACCACCTACCTACAGCAAACAAGCTAAATGCTCTTAATCAAAGGTGGCATTCAAATGGAAATCAACTTCTAGCATCTCTGTAATGGAATTATTGCAAATTCTCTACCAAAAGAACTAAATAAGCACATGCTCTGCAACCATCTTTTTGTGACTGAACAGTATGAATTGATGGTGGTCAATGATCGAGTCTTTCTGAATGTTGCTTGTTGCTCAGGTCCAGTGCATGCTGACACTGATGCACTGATATATCCTAGATACCTACAGGGCAGAGGAACATGAAATGACTGGCATTAAAAATATGCCATGGTATGACCACAAGGTTGCAGAGGAAGAAGAGAATGGATATTGAAAGATAGCCTAGAGTCTATCCAAGTCTTTTATATGTCATTAAATACATTCCTCAGAATTTCTCTAAGCAGTATTTATTATTACTCTAGTTTTATAGCAAATAAAAAAAAATTTGGAGAGACTAAGTAACGGTCCCATATTTACATGCTAATGACAAGCGGTGTTAGCATTTGAATTCAGATCTATCAGGCACAAAGTCCATGCTCTCCTGCAAACTACCCATACTTTAATAATTTATATGTTTTGTGCATGATGTCCCCATTCCTGTAAGTCAGTGGGCTCATTCCCCATTACCTTTCAGATGATTAGTGCTATTAAATATCTCGGAGTTACTGGGTAAGGAACTCAGCATATATTGATAAAGTGAAGCACCTTGATGGATTTTACAACATTGGTGAACAGGAGCAAGGAATTTTCTTTTTTTCCCCCACCCCTGGGAAGCAGGTTATGGTAGCATGCTCCCATTCTCTCTTGACTAAAGCAGAAACAAATTCTTAAAGTGAATGTGGAGTTACCCCAACTCAATTTCCAATGGATTGAGGAAGCATATATTTTGTTCCTGCTCTTTCTGGAAGATCTAATACAAAAAACCTGAAGGAAGTAAAAATGCATCCTGAGAATGAGGATTTCTTTTTCTAGTTACAATTAGTGAAGGTCTTACTTGAAATAAATGCACAATTTGAGGCAGATACACACTCAGGGACTGGCAACTTTGTATGGCACATTCACATAATGTTTAACGTGGGCTGCTACTTAGGTCTTCCTGGAAATGTTGTCATCCTTTTTGATCACACTAATAATACACTATGAAGCGTTGCTCTGTGGGATGTAGTTAAAGCTTATTTGAGCTTCGGCAACCACTGGCACTTTTCCTGGGGGAAAATATCAGAACATTTTTATTTTTATCTCAATCACTCCAGAAAACTTCATGGAGAATAGCCTCTGTCAGGGATATAGGGCAATCGTTGTCACAAACAGTGTTTGAAAAGAGATGGCCTAAATCGTCAATATACTGTGCTGGGAAATGGGAAATGGTGAATAAAAAGGTTCAACAGTAAATGTCTAAACTTTCTTTGAACCAGAATTGCTGAGGTTTTATTTGTTATTTTGTATTTTGCAAAATAGGCAGTTAATAATATATATATATATATATATATATATGTATATGTGTGTGTGTGTGTGTGTGTGTGTGTGTGTGTGTGTGTGTGTGTGTGTGTATATAAATTTTGCCTGTATTCTTTCCAGCAAATATTATCACATGAGTTTTGAAAAATATTCAAGGTGTTTCCTTGGTTTTTAGTTCTTGGTTCAAAAGATTAGGCCGTAAGTTATTTGCAGATGTTTATGTGGGGTGGGAGGAGGTGAGAGAGACAGAGAGAGACAGTGTGTGTGTGAATGTGTTTAAATGTAAAGAACATTAATACATACCTCTAAGAATAGAAAGAGTAATTTTCTTCCTGACATTGAGCAAATATATTTCAGTAAATATGGGAGAAAATAAGATAAGGGAAGTTTTCCTAATTTCATCCAAAAATGCTTATGACATAAATCATACTGGCTCTTTCGAATAGTCAAACTGGTAACTCTTCATTCTTTGGCAGAAAACTACACTGACTTTTCCCCAAGCATGATTAAGTCTATTGAGAAAAACAGATTAAAATATATGATGGCATATCGTTTTATAAGCATTTCCTGTGTCATTAGTGTTAGCAGTATCTTTCCGATATCCATTTCTTTATTGTTTAGAAAGTGATGGTGCAATAGAAAGCCGATTTGCTCATGAATGCAAAGGTTCTAATCCCTGATTCAGAAACATCATTAGTTCCTCTCGTAAGAGCTTCCTCAAAGCACTCACTATAAAGTCCTGTCAACACTTGTAATAATTTTCTATAAACCAAAAGCTTCTCTGAGTTATTATTTTGAGAACGTGCCATATCGTAGGCTGTAGCTTTAGCTTTGTATGTTTTCTGCATTCTCAGTTACTGGGGGGAAAATGGGCTTTATTATTATGTTCTTCTGGGTGGTTGAGAAGAGAAAGATTTACTGTGTAAGAGATGAAGGGACAGAAACAGTAGTAGGAGTCGGAGAGCAAAAAGGCAGCGAAACCACTTCCTTAGGACAAACTTCGGAGGTCCCGGAAGTCTTTCCGTATTCCAATGTGGGCTTTCCCAAAACTGGCTTATTTACAAGAAGTTTGCTAATTCATTTGATTTCATGATTTAGGGAGTTCCATGTGTAAACACGTGCGTGTGCACACAGACACGCACGCACCACACACACACCACACACACTTCCTTTTGTCGATGGTGCTTTTTCTGACTCCCTTCTAGGCCCTTCCTGATGAATAAAAATATCCCTGCACAAATCATGTTTGATTTTTGAACTGCTGAAAATCACTTGATATGGGGCTTGAACATTTTGGTTTGGAGTTATGTTGTTCCTTTCATCCTTGTAGAGAATTATTTTTAAATGAATGGCCTTGGGACAATTAGGCTAGTCTCTGTATCTTAGATCCTGAAGATCCAGAAAATTTTAGAGTACATTTAAGCTCTTTACCTGGCAAGTCAGGTCGCTATTATAGTCATTAAGTGTGTGTGTGTGTGTGTGTGTGTGTGTGTGTGTGTGTAGTGTGTGTGTATGTGTATGCGTATATATATATATATACACACACACACACACATATGTGTAATATAGATATATTTTATGTATATATCCAAGCATGGTACTGGGCCTTGGCAATTCAATGGTGAATGAGATAGAAGGGCTTTTTATTTATTTATTTATTTTGAGGCGGAGTCTGGCTCTGTCGCCCAGGCTGGAGTGCAGGGGCGCGATCTCGGCTCACTGCAAGCTCCGCCTCCCGGGTTCACGTCATTCTCCTGCCTCAGCCTCCCGAGTAGCTGGGACTACGGGTGCCTGCCACCACGCCCGGCTAATTTTTTGTATTTTTAGTAGAGACGGGGTTTCACCGTGTTAGCCAGGATGGTCTCGATCTCCTGACCTCGTGATCTGCCCGCCTCGGCCTCCCAAAGTGTTGGGATTACAGGCGTGAGCCACCGCGCCCGGCCAATAGAAGGGTCTTTATTCCCATGGAGTTTGTAGTTTAGTGGGTCATGCTGTCAAGTAATTGTGAAGCAACTAGATGAAGCTGGGGACAAACTCATAATTCTGAAGCCTGAAATTCAGGACTTCTCCCTTTAAGTGGGCTCTTAGCGCTGCCCAGCAATCCTGCTCCATCCCCCCGCTCTCTGAGTTGACTACTTTACCCTTCTGTCCTCTCTGCCAGCTCTCCATGCCTCCTCCCCTTTACTTGCCTTCAGCTACTGACTCTGCTCCCTTTTTTCCCCTGTCTTCCCTCATGCGGCTCTAACTGTATAGAAACCTAACCTAATGATTCTGTGGTTGGGCTAGCAGGAGGAGGAAGAGGATAAGTAGAACAGTACCATGGAAAATCAGAGGCTGAAGCCAGCCCAAGATGAGGAAAGGTAGATGCTTTCCATTGGATAAATATTTGGCACTTACGTAATTACTAGAATAGAGTGAAATCCACATCACTCTGATCTGGACTTTTGTCTAAGGACCCACTGAAAAGCTGCGGGCGGTGTCTGCCTGAATGTCAGTCTCATGTACAGCTAAAGAAAACATTAACAGAGTGAGTTTAACGGGGAGGGCTGAGAAAGAATAAGCATGCTTCCTGCTTGTAACTCACTCAGTTAGGCTTCGTCAATCAATTGGTTACAATTACATGCATAATAATAGTTTGATGATGAGCAGAATAATTATAATGTTACTAATATCTATGATGAGAACATAAATTGAGAAGATTCAAGAGAATCTAGTTCACCTCTGAACTTAAGATAAATTCTTCCTAGAATTGAAGAAAATGTTGTCATTGTGTGGCTATAGTCCCAAACCAGACATTCTGTCCATTTCCAATGTCTACATCCCATTTCACCTCATGGATGTTATTAAATTCTTTATTAATTTAGCCTTCTGAAAACACTGTGCCAATGAGAGGAGAATGTTTGATGCAAAATAATGAATCTTCGATTTCTAAAGTGGAAAACGTTTCATACTGAAGTTGACAACCTGTTAAATAGTCCCTTTGAAATAGTGGCTGATACGGAAGCAAGTTGGCTTTAAAGAAAGGACTTAAATGGCTAATCCAGCTCCAAGTGCTTATTCCAGAAGAAGAACTCAGCTTGATTTTGTTTTGCCATCTATTGTAACATCAGTTTACTTTGGATCAGTTTATTTTTAATACTTTGAATGCGTCTCTGCACTTAGCCAGATTAAATGTCACCACTTAAAATTGACAAGAGATAGAATTTAACCGGTAATAATTTTATATTTTTATCATTTTCCATAGTACAGTGTATTTTTTAAAGTATGAACCTTTTCTAGCAGTATTGCCTGTTATTAATAATGACAATAATGAGTGCTAACATTTATTGAGTGATTCCTACATGGTAGGCAGACCAAACACTTTAAATGCATTGCCATATTTCATCCTCATAACCATGAAGTAGATACTATTATTTTCTTCACTTTACAGAGGAGAAAGGTGAGGTTTATAGAGGTTCGCAGACTGGTGCAACGCCACATAGCTAGTTACTGCTTGAGTTAGGGTACTAATCGAGTTCTGTCTCATTCGAGACTATATTATCTTAGCCACTAAAAATTAGTTGCTTCTTATTGTAAGTGGACAGAAAAGTACCATACTTGGCATTCTGCTCCAACTGTGTTAATTCCTATGATTTGCTTTATTTAAGGTATGATCAGTTTTAGAAATTTGAAATCCAATTTAAATAACTCAACAAGCAACCATATTTAATTGATAAAAACAAATAAAATTCTTCAATATAAGCAAGTTAGTGATCTCTGCTTCTAACTTAGGCTTTCCCTTGTGTATTAATCAACGTTGTAACAAGTATCCTTAATGCCTCAATTACGAGATACAGAAAAGGTTAGTTCAAGTTTAGGTTGCAGTCCAGTGAAGATTAGCCCATTCTCTCTTCCAGGTGTTCTATCTGTGTGTCTACCATCTCCTAAAGCCTTGGAATTCTCCCCTATATCCTGTACCTCTGGCCAGATATTGAATGAAATGAATGTGGAAGATCAGACTAGAGATCTGAATAGCATACATCATACATCACTTCTGCTCACATACTATGGGCCAGAACTCAGTTGGGTGACCACACTTAAATGCAAGGGAGAGTGGGCCATGAAGCTTGGCAGTGAACCTAGAAGAGAGAACATGGGTATTGATGAATAAATAACTAGCCAGTCTGCCATGCCTTTATAAGCCTTAAGGAACTTTGACAAGTTCAAAAAGCATTCAGGTCAAAAAATATTTTCCAGGTTTTCATGTGTTTACTATTACCTTAGGGATGTTTTATTCTCAAGATGTTTGTCCTTAACATGTTTTTCCTCAGCTCTGAATCTGTAGACAGTGGAATTTGCATTGCCAACAAGTTGGTTGGTAATAATCCAAGGGAAATTTATACATTTTATTATTTTGTATTTTCTTCCTTAAGATTATAGAACTTCCACGACTTTTGTCTTTCCCTATATCTTCAGTACCTGACAGAATTTTTTTTTATATTGTAAGAGGCTGATGTATGAAATTAATGTGGAATTTCATGCCTGATAGCTTACTAATTGGATGCTCAGTAGATTCTAATTTGTGGGGTTTTTTTCTAAATTGAATAATGTACAGTATATCAATTTTACAACATTAGTTTATGAAGCCTTGACAATAATTTATAAACTTTAATTAACATTGATATACACATATTATTGCTATTCTAACAGTAACTAGATATTAAGAATCAAGCTTTTTTATTCGTTAAAGACTTACATCATTTAAAAAATTATATACTCTGGACATTTTTTCTATTACAACTAGTTTTTAATGTGCATTCATAGTAAAAGGCATGATTTAGTATATAAAGATAACCAATGTGAACACATCTACTGTTTTCTTTGTTTTACTACCTGCACTTCGATTCTTTATTATTATGAATTTTTCATCCAGAAGCGTTGATGCATTTTTGGTAAAATTCATCTGTTATTCTTTCCTCAGTGGGTCATTATCATGAGATTTCATAACATTTTTCATTTGTTCTTCTCGAAATTTTGCATTGTCTTCATTTTTATAAGACTTTATAACTTGCAACATCTCAAGTGCATAGTATACCAAATTCAGCGTAATGAGAAAACGTAACGGTTTTGACCCTATGAAAGCTCTCCCAACTCTTTGATTTCATATAATATTATCTCTTTCCCCTACAGCCTTGATGTAAAAAATCTTGTTATTAATGATGGTTAAGTCAGAAATGTATCTCAGAAATTTTGACACTAATGTTAAAAAGTCCACATTCTGGACTTTTTTCCCATTAGCCCTCTTTGTGCAAATTTGCAACAGGTATGGTCTACAGAATAATACTGGAAAGAAAAAGTGTCAGGTGCTACACAGAACATAACAGGCTCATAGCATTATTTGCTTAATAGAATAGGTAAAAATGTGGAGGAGTTACTCTTTGAATCATTATAATTGTCTCCACTGTGTCTTCAAGAAACAAGGTCAATGGGTCACAATGTCAGTATTTAGAAGATGATGGATATATTTTTAACCCTTGCATAGCCACCTAGGCCAATTCCTACTTTGCAGTTGCGTTATATATGCAGCCCCATTCCAAAGTAATAGATCCCTTTTCAACTTTTATGTATGGAACTGTGCTTAAAAGTAAGAGAAACCACATGTTGAAAATATTTTATCATTTAAATTTTATTGAAGTTACTTTATACATATTGAATGTGTTGGGCAAAGTACACACGTCTCCATATATTTCTTTTCTTTTTTTTCTTTTTAAACAGGGTCTCACTCTATTGCTCAGGTTGGAGTGCAGTGACGCAATCACAGCTCACTGCAGCTTCGACTTCCCAGGCTCAAGTGATTCTCCCACCGCAGCCTCCCTAGTCACTGGGACTACCGGTGCCTGCCACCACCCCCAGCTATTTTTTTTTTGTCTTTTTAGTAGAGACAGGGTTTTGCCATGTTGCCCAGGCTGGTCTCCAACTCCTTAGCTCAAGAGATCTGCCTGACTTGGCCTCTCAAAGTGTTGGGATTACAGGCGTAAGCCACCACGCCTGACCTCTCCATATATTTCTACATAAGTTAAAATTTAGAAAATAAAAATAAGGCAAAGATATCCCTAGATTTCCAGAGGTAAAGACGTTGTAGGAGAGTGAAGGAACTTTCAGGTCTATCGAAGCCTAAAGTGTTACATGTTCCTATGTTCCTGCAGTGATTGCTGATGCCAAAGTATTCCTCTTCAAATGAGAGGCTGTGAATTTGTTCTGTTTAATGGTTTCCAAAGCAGTTGGGAGATGTGACCCTCTAGAGATTTTGAAGGGATTTGATTTTTGATGCCTGAGTACTATTGAGAAAGTTCAGCTATTGAAAGAGTGTATGAGAAAATCTATATGGAAGATCAATTTCACAAGTACTTTGTAAAAGCCTCAGACAAGAGTCTCACTTGACACAGAATATAGAAGGTCCATGCCAAAAATTTGTCAACACACTCATCTTTTGGACAAAAATATAGATTTGAACTTACAGAGTATGATGTCCTGTCAAAGCACAGATCACTCCACAACTGAGTTCAACAATAAATTCCAAGAGGCTTGTAAAACCCACTATTGATGTGATTCCTGAACATGAATAAACAGTTTGGCCACAGCTCTGCTAAAATACAAATGTGGATCGTGACATGGGTAATAAAGTAGTATATGAACTATTCAATACGGGATTATAAACTATTAGGCAAGCACTTATGAATACTCCCTTTCACAAACCATTCCATAATCCATGCAGACAGTTTTCTGTCAGTCCAAATGGATGCATTTATGAAATAATAGGTATGCCTGGGAGGACCCCTCCAGAGCATTCCTGGTTGCAATGATGCCTGGGTTGTGAGGTTGCAACGTTTATCAATAGTCCATGTTCTGTAATAACAGGGAAACACCTGGCTATTCTCCAAATGCATAGAAGAGCAAAGCTATATCACCAACTGCAATATGGCATTGGTCAGGCAAAAGATATTTGGGTTAATCAAATTTTATGGTTAATACCTGCATGCAAGAAAAGTTTTCAAGGAATTAAAATCCAGTTTATGCAAAAAGAAATATTGTAACCATGGCTTAATATTTGATCATTTCAAGAGCATTTGGGAAACTTAGCCTCAAGGATATAATTATGAATCTCACTTATTATTTTACTGTAAATATGTTGATGTGCTGGCTAGTAGAGCTTTTGGTAGATAGCACACTGACATCTGACCTTTGTTTATCTTCTGTTTGGTATTTCAAATCCTTCAAATGTGAAGGATTTACTTTAAGGATTCGACTTGCTTTTCGAATTAAAAAAAAAATGATATACAATTCCAGTGAGTACATATAAGCAAAGTGCTTCCTAAAGGGTAATTGGAATAATTATCCACTAATGACGAAGGGAAAAACATAAGGATTTAAAATGTGTTTCTTCTGATTCTTTCTGATAATCTCCTGATTATTCAACGATTTAACCCTGAGACCAGGAAGAAAAGTTACTAAAAATAAATAGCCCAATAAAGAAAGAATGTGTATACCGACCCACAATGGCAAATTGATCCAACCTGTTTTCTGACCTTTTAAATTATGGCTTGTAATTTTCTATGAGATTTTACATAGGCAGCAGCTTGGAGTAGTGATTAAAGGGATTCTAGACTCAGAAGACTTGAGTTCAAATCCCAGATATTCCAGTCACTATTTTTGTGATTCTGGGCAATGTATTAAAGCTCTTCCAGTCTCTGTTTCCTTATTTGAAAAATTGCATAATAACTTTTCTTCATTATTAGGAAGAGTAGATGAATTAATACCATGTGAAACATTTAGAACAGTGCCTGGCATATACTAAGTGTTCAAGAAGCATTAGCTATTACTAATATATTTAACATTATGACTATCGAGTATTGATTCTAATGTGGCAATGTCACGCCTGCATCATTCTGCTCCATGCCCTGTGCCTTTGCCCCTGCTATTTTGTTTGCCTAGGAGGCTGCACTCAGCCGCATACCAGCCAAACTACAACTGCATCTTCAAGGTGCAGCTTGCCTAGGGGCATTGAGAAACCACACGCAGGAGACATTGAGAAACCACAGGCTTCCTTGCTGGCTCAAAGAAGTAATGAATATGTGTAATGTCCACTAAATTAATTCACTTAAAGATTTGGATCTTAAAACAGGAATATAATTATTAAATGTCATGGCCTTCATTTTTTAGAATAACAATGACATATTTTAGCTTTTATTTTAATGACTTGTCTTAGTTTGTTTAGGCTACTGTAACAGAATACCCTAGACTGGATGGCTCAAAAGTAACAGAAATGCATTTCTCGTGGTCTTGGAGGCTGGGAAGTTCAAGGTTTAGGCACTAGCAGACTCAGCGTCTGGTGAGCACTGGCTTCCCAGTTTATAGAATGCTGTCTTCTCACTGTGGCTTCACATGGCAGAAGGAGTGAGGGAGCTCTGTTTTGTAAGGGCACTAATCCCCTTCACAGGGGCCCACCCTCATGACCTAATCACCTCCCCAAAGCCCTACTTTCTAACACCATCACGTTGTGAGGTCAGGTTTCAACATATGAGTTAGGGGGTGTGGGGACACAAACATTCTGTCTCTAACACAGGTATTGGGCTACCATTCATTTGCTTTGTTTTATTTTTGAAATTATATAAACACATGAGGAAAAATTCGAACACTAGAGAAGGGTATCGGTGAAAGGAGATCAATTCCTCCTTCATATGTCAACTCCCAATCTGCCTTCCCGGAGACATGCTCTCCATATTCAAGTGTGTATGTCTACAACACACACTCTTTCAAACAAACAGGGACTCAGGAAACGTAATATGATTTACCTTATTTTTGTGCTTCAGGAAGTAGGTTAGAATTTTTCCACATCAGCAGCACAACTGACCTACCTCAGTTTGTTAACAGCTGCATGACTCTACCCGTGAGGAACCAAGTTGCTGAGTGAAGTTCCCCCAGCCAGGAAGGTCCGGGAAGGCGTGCCCAGCACCCCGCCTGCTTTGTTCAGGAACAGACAGCAGCTCTTTCTCTGCTCACGGTGCAGGGCAAAGCAAATCAAACAGGAGGGCATGGCTCTAAAGCTTTTTTTGTGGACAACAACAAGGGAGGGAGGAGGAAGGCTGTGACTTCCCACAAGTTAATAATTTTTATCCCTTAATTTTTATTTTTTTTCTTAAGGCAGAGTCTCTGTCGCCCAGGCTGGAGTGCAGTGACGCGATTTCAACTCACTGCAACCCTCGCCTCCTGGGTTCAAGCGATTCTCCTGCCTCAGCCTCCCGAGTAGCTGGGATTTCGGGTGTGTGCCACCAACGTCCGGCTAATTTTTGTATTTTTGGTAGAGACGGGGTTTCGCCATGTTGGCCAGGCTGGTCTCGAACTCCTGACCTCAGGTGATCCACCCATCTCGGCCTCCCAAAGTGTTGGGATTACAGGTGTGAGCCACTGTGCCCCACCTTTATCCCTCAATATTAAGAAAATCCAATAACATGTAGTTTAATATATAATGTAAAGACAGTTTCAGCTACATGCTGTATGAATGAACCAAAAACTTTCTTGAGTATGAAATTGAAATTGAAATTGAGAGTGCATGTAGCCTTATTTTTGGTGAGTAGTTGGATTTTTGTTTCCTGATTACAAAATATGGCAGAAAATTTGAACATATGAAAAGCAAAAGCAAAGAAAGTGTTAAAGATTATTCGTAATTTCACCAGCAGGATAATCAATCAGTAGTAACCTTTCACAAATTTTCTGTACATTATTACTTTATAAATCACTGCTTCACTTAGTAGAACTTTACACTCTATGACACTAGTTTCCTTGTTTTCTTTTGAACAACATGATTTTTACATTCTAGATATGTGCTGTGATTTACTTAGGCATTTTACATATAACTAATTTATGAAACTTAATGTTGGACTTCCTATTATTAATTTATGCTATGGATAACACTGATGTGAGCGTGCATCTTCTGTTATTCTCAGATAAATCCCTTAAAATATTTTCCTAAAAGTAGAATTTCCTGTTCAAAGAGTATGAACAACACTGTTATGCCTTTTGATACATGTTTTCGGATAACCATCTGGGAAGATAACAATTTAACCTCCAACTCGCAGGATGGGAGAATATACACATTCCCCTGGATCCTTGCGAATTGTGGGTGTTTTCTTTTCTTTTTTAATTTTGTCTAATTCATATCAGGTTTTAATTTTGTGACGTTGATCACTTTTATATTTTGCTAGGATGAGGAATGCATTTATCATTTTTACGGATTAAGAGTACTTTATGTTGTGTATTAACAAACATTTGTCTATCATATATTTCAAATATTTTTCCCAGTTTTATGTTACTTAATTAGTTTCTTTGTTTTGATATGCAGATACTTAAATTTATTTGTAGTCAAATATAGAAACCTTATCTATTACGTTTTTTTTTACGTTGTCTTCATGTTTAAAAATTTTTCTTACTTCCAGGTTTTTAGCTTTAAATTTTCATATACATACAGATAGATCAACATTCATTTTAATTTCTTTTAATTTCATCTTTCCCAGTTATCACTTTAATGTACTATATCAGCTAAGGAATAAAATACATTGGTATAAGACAAAACTCCCAAAGCACAGTTGTTCAAAAGTATGCTATAAAAATTAATTCTCTCACACATAATATTCTAGATGTGGGCCAGTTGTCTAAAACAGCAAGCAATTTGGTATATGTAGTCTTCCAGGGACCCATGTATTTTCCATCATGTTGCTTCTCTATTTTAGTTTTTTTTCTTTTGCCCTTATCTTCAGAATCAAAGCTGGCTCACCAGCAAAATAGCCACTTTCCAGCCTGTGATGGCAGGAAAAGGAGAACAGAGAACAAATAGATTCTTCTTAATTTTTTTTTTTTTTTGAGATGGAGTTTCATTCTTGTCACCCAGGCTAGAGCAGTGCCGCGATCTCAGCTCACTGCAACCTCTGCCTCCTGGGTTCAAGTGATTCTCCTGCCTCAGCCTCCCAAGTAGCTGGGATTACAAGTGCCCATCACCATGCCTGGCTAATTTTGGTATTTTTAGTATAGGCGGGGTTTCACCATGTTGGCCAGGCTGGTCTCGAATTTCTGACATCAGGTGATTAGCCCGCCTGGGCCTCCCAAAGTGCTGGGATTACAGGAGTGAGCCACCGTGCCGGGCCCTTCTTAGGGCCACTGGGGAGTTGCGTACGATACTTTTGCTAATGTTCTTTGGACTGGGACTTCATCATATGACCGCAACTAGCTGCAATGGCACCTGGGTGCATTCGTTTGCTAGGGCTGCCTTAACAAAGTACCACACACGGGGAGGGTGGCTTAAACAGCAGAAACTCATTGCCTCACAGTTTTGGGGAGTAGAAGTCTGAGATCAAGGTGTCGTCAGCAGGGCTGGTTCCTTCCAGGGCTGTAAGGAAGAAGCTGTTCCCAGTCCCTCCTCAGCTTCTGGAGTTCTGCTGGCAATCTTCACCATTTCTCGGCTTGTAGAAGCCTCACTCTGATCTCTGGCTTCATCTGTACTAGGTTTTCTCACTATGTGTGTTTCTCTGTGCCCAAGTTTCCCCTTTAAAAAGGGACACCAGGCATTTTGGATTGGGGCCCACCTTAATGACCTTATCTTGACGTAACTAATGATATCTTCAATTATTCTACTTTCAAATAAGTTCATATTCTGAGATATTGCTATTGAACATCAGCAAATAAATGGGGATGAAGAGAGGAGTAATTCAACCTGAAAAACCTTGGAAGATAGTCTTTACCTTAGCAAAAGAAAGGATGTGGGACTTTGGAACTGAAAGCCAACTATCGGTCTCATTTATCTTGAATTTATTTTAATCCTGAATTTGAGATGCAGACATACATTCATTTTTATTCAACTTTTAAAACCAATTTTCCACTGTCATTTAATAACCCCAAATTGTCTCACTATTTAAAATGACATATTTCCTGTGTTCAAAATAAGGCCCATGCTCTTAAACCCCAAGTGAGATATGTGTAGCATGCTGAACCATACTGTAACCATACAATAGCTCATACAATCTAACCATACAGTAGACCAACAGGGTCTATTTACTCCCTGTATTTTCTATCATATTTCATTGATCTTGTCTAACATTCATTGGAATCACATAATATTTGTGTATTATAACTTCAGTGAGAAAATAATTGTAACTTCTCCATAGAGAAAATGAAAATGATGTTTTCTTTTCTTTTCTTTTCTTTTCTTTTTTCTTTTTTTTTTTTTTTTTTGAGATAGAATCTCACTCTGTTGCCCAGGCTGGAGTGCACTGGCAGGATCTCAGCTCACTGCAACCTCTGCCTCCCAGATTCAAGTGATTCTCCTGCCTCAGTCTCCCAAGTAGCTGGGACAAACACCCAGATAATTTTTGTAGTTTTAGTAGAGATGAGGTTCCACCATGTTGTCCAGGCTGAGAAAATGTTTTCTATATTTTAGGATAGGACTGAGTCATTCATTATAGTATTAGCGACACACATATTCAGTGGTTACTAAACACACGACTAACTTATGAAGCGGGCACTGTTTTTTGCCTATTTAAGGAATGAGGATAATGAGGCACAGAGAGCTTGAGTGACTTGCCCAGAGTTGCAGAACTATTAAACAAGGGGCAGAGCATGGATTGAAATCCAGGTGCATCCAACTCAGGACCTAAGCTCTTAAACGCCATGGAATAAGCCCCATGTCCAGTGCACTCAACTCTAAAATGACACCAACTGTACCTATGTACAAGCTCGCCATTAAACAGTGTGTATGGAACTTACAACCCAGTGTCTTACATGAAAAGGGGTCTTCGTCAAAACATCCTCCTTCCTCCTCCCCCATCTGTCTCAGTGGACAGAGCAATTCTCTGCCGTGAAAGTGTAGAATGTTACTGAAAGAGTTCATAGTTAAACCCAGTCAATCACTATCTCTGACCTCCCATAATTTGCAAAATATTTTTGTATCCTTAACGAAGTCATCCATTTACATAAGCCGCAGTATCCTGCTGTGTGAGTCACTGGCATTAGGCAGTTTCACCTTTAAAGTATTAATGAATCTCCACTTTTTTTCTCTGTGATATCTCAGTGGGCAGCTTTGTGGCTTTCTGATCAAACTGTTCTCTCATTGAAGGAGCCAGCATGGAATTCATCAATATGTGTCTGGTCGAATGTGAGATCCTTTTATCCGAGGACCTCCAAATCCCCAGATATTACCGCAATTGTATATATCAAGTTAATATTTCAGTTTGCTTATTTATTTGTGAATATGTCACTTTGTAACAAGATAATTTACAGCCCGTTTAAACTGTTCTCAACTGCAGCTTTCTGACATAGTTGATTTTTGTTACAGTCAAATAATTCCCTGAGTTAAAGACTGCTCTTTCTCCCTCAAACTGTCCCATGACCTTCATCAGAGGGCAAACTGCAGGATAGGAGAGTACAGGCAACGAGGACTAATACTCTTCTCTCCATTAGACCAGAACACTGCATAATTTCAACCTACCATTAATGATCAAAGTTACATGGACGTATTTAAACTCAGGTATTATGAAGAAACATACTTAGAGAATAAATTTTACTGGATGGTTACAATATTGCCAGATACTATGCTTAGTCTTAGAGATACATCAATCAGCAAAACAATTCTTGCCAAAAAAGTAAATCTTAGAAGGTGGGAAACGGGTACATAAAGTGATTAGTGTATAAGAAGTGCAATGGCGAAGTATGTGCAGAATATTACAGGGATGCGGACGAGGGCACGCAGCAAAGTCAAAAGCTGAAGGGTGAGTATCAGGGTGGCTCCCTGTAGAGAGAAACAGCTGAGCTAAATCTTAAAGAATGCATGTACTAGGTGTACACTTTATATATAATATCTTATTGAAGGTATTATCATGTTTGTGATTTTATTTCTATGTTAGCTAGAATGATTTCATGCTAGAGAATTATATTAGAAAAGTAGATTGCAATTAATCAATTTATTTTCTTACAAAAATCCATGATGTTAGTGCATATTAATACAAGGGAAAATCCTATGATTTATGGAAAGGAAGAATTACTGAAACCATTAATAAAGTTTAGACAGGTCCAGAATGATAAAGTGCGGAAGTAATCACAAAATGTTTGTTGAATTAGTTAATTTAAAGTGAGACAGAAATTAATCACATACACATTGTTCTAAGTTGGAAAAAAAGGAGATAGAAACCACATACTACTACATGCAGAATACAGCAGAGTCCAACTATTTCCACAAAAACCTAGTTTCCCCCAAAGAGGTTTATAGATGTTTGGCGAAGAAAAAAAAATGTTTTGTATTAAAATAATTTGGGGAAATATAAGCTTAAATAAAATTAGAAAGAGCTGCTTCTTTTGCAAGATTTTTTAGAACTTTTAGTATACTAAGCAATATCTCCCTGAAATTGTTGATCAGGAAATTGTTGCTTTCTCCAGAACACTTACTAATATGCAATCAAACTAGTGTTTCAGAAAAACTGTTTGAGAGATACTGACATGAGAATTTCAGGAGAAATTTTGGGAAAGGGAACTAGACCTTTGCCAATGAACTCAATGTCTTCTAAATACATGTTTGGAAAAATAAAAATCTTTATTACTAAGCTGAATCTCAATCTTGGGCTTCTATTCTGCTTGATTGAAGAGCTCTCTCTGTAATCAATGACAGGTAAGCTTGATTTCAGGATATAATACCATCAGTTTGAGATTTTCCTCTTTCCCACCCTTCTCAGAGGGGCATCAAAGTGCTGGTGAGCTTCTGCAGGATCTCGTAGCATTGGGATAGCACATATGGTTCTCATCTGGTAACTGTCCATGCAGCGACCAGCTGTGGTTTACACAGGCCCGTCTGGTTTTCAGCTGTTGTTATTCTTCTCTGAGATGTCTGCCTCTGCATCTGGCTCTCCAGCCGTGTGTTCACACTACATCCACCACAATGTCACCTCCTTTTGATTAAGTGACTACTTCAGGTCAGCCAACTCTCTCTTAGCTAATTTCTGTGCTTTACTCAAACTGTGGAAGAATTAGGCTGCTTCGCCACATCACTCTATGTCCATGAGAAGCTCGGCGAAGCTGCCTAAGACCAGCCCTGCCTCTAATAGTGCTTGGATGCCAACAGGTACCAGGAATTGTCTGTGAAGATGCCATCTTCCGAGACTCCAAATAGGGTTCTGGCCTCCCAGAGCTTACCTGGGCATGAAGTCATTCCACCCTCTTAAAGAAAAGCTAGGTGGTAGTGGGGTTGGAATATGAGGGATTCGTGCAAATGATCCCGCTTTAGACACCATACTCTGATCAATAAGAGTAGAAATATACTCAGTGAATTTTAATAGGTATTATCAAAGCCTGTGGGCAAAGTGGAGCATACCTAAAAGCCTATCTCTTCATCATCACCTTTAAGGATCACCCCATCACCTTCAGGAACCTTTCATTATAACTCCTTTTAAGTTCTGCGCCCTTAGTAAATTCTAAAGATTTAATTTATAATTCGTAAAATGACTTTTCCAAAAATATTTGCATATATTCTGTTCGTGTCTCTTGCAAATGTAGAAACTTTATCTTGACTTAGATACTTTTAGCAAAAATGTGAAGCCTAATTAGCACTATAACACTAACATAAATTATTAACTCTAACATAAATTATTTAATTACCACATCAGGCAGACACCTTCAAATGGATAACCTTGTAACTAAGCAATACTAACTTTCCTCATAGACAGTTTCTACCAAAACACCAAAAGTGATTTTAAAAAAGAAAATTCTGACCTTAGGGCTAAATAAACATGTTGAGGTGACTTCCTTTGTTTCTCAAACTGTATCTCTTTATTTAAGATTAAGAATAAAGCAGAAAAATCACAGTATGTGTATCTTCATGAACTAGAAGTTGATAACAAGTTCTTTTTTACTCTTTTATAGAGTAAAAGGAAACTGATATGTTGTGTATGTGTGTGACACATGAGGTCTTTCTACATATAATATTGGATTTAGATAAATACTATTACTGCTTACCGTACAGTTAAGGAGACTGAGGATCTGAAAGGCGAAATAATTAGTCCAGGGTTATAAAACTATGAAGTTGTGGAGCTCATATCTTCATCTTCTGTTGACAAAGCCCATAGCACCTTTGGCCAACTTACTTGTCAGAGACGTGCTTTCTAAGAGATGAAAACAGAAAAAAAAATCATATATTACATCAGAAAATAGGAAATGCATTGTGTTTCTTAAAATACGAGTTAAGGAATGATCAAGCATCTAGCAGTTTTTCTCATCCTTTTTTACAGTTGACAGGTTTAGAGCCTGTTTTCTCCATAGGAAGGGTTGTGGGTAGTCACTCATGCCAACTAATACTTTTTTTTTTTTTTTTTTTTGACAGAGTTTGTCTTTTCTTGCCCAGGCTGGAGTGCAGTGGTGTAGTCTCAGCTCACTGCAACCTCTGCCTCCTGGGTTCAAGTGATTCTCCTGCCTCAGCCTCCCGAGTAGCTGAGATTACAGGCGCCCGCCACCACACCCAGATAATTGTTTTGTTTTGTTTTGTTTTTGTTTTACTATGTATTTTTAGTAGAGACAGGGTCTCACCATGTTAGCCAGGCTGGTCTGGAATTCCTGACCTCAGATGATCCACCCCTCATCCTCCCAAAGTGCTGGGATTACAGGCGTGAGCCACTACACCTGGCCGCCAACTATGTCTTTTACTGCTACCATCTTGGGGTCCACGTATCCTCATGCTTCCTCTTGCCATTGCAGACCCTGTGTGACCCACCCCAACCCCAAGCAAACTCCTCAGGGAAATCTGGTACCTAGGACCTTTATTCCCCCTGGAACTGTCTTGTGCTGACCTATTTCTTTCTCAGGCAATAGAGTCCTCGCAGAAAATCTGATACTTTATTCAGCACTTTGGAGTAGCTGGCTTAATAGACTGTCCCACACCAACAAACAGATCCCACTTCCCTAATCCTTTCCAAGCTCCCACAGATCTTGCCACTCCCAAGAGCAGGCTCGTCACTCCTGTGACACAAAGGGCACACATAGGTCATGCCAAGGCACCTATAAAGTTGTAATCCTTTGGAGGATTAGAGGAATGAGAGACTTCCACTCCCCAAGGGTAGGGATTATTGTCTGTTCTGTTACGTGTGTATCCCAAAAGCCTAGAACAGTACCTGGAACAGAGTTGGCACTTAAAAACTTAATATTTATTGAATGCAGAGTAATAGCAAGGAGAAAAGTAATAAAAGGTTTTTGCCAGTGCAGTGGCTCATGCCTATAATCCCAGCACTTTGGGAGGCCTAGGTGGGACCATCACTTGAGCCCAGGAGTTCAAGACCAGCCTGGACCACATAGTGAGGCCCCCGTCTCTAAAATAAAAAACAGCAACAACAAATGTGAGGTCTCCCTGCTGCCCTGCTCTTTCTTATTGTGTCTGGTCCTCCGAGGTGAGAACATGGTGTGCCTATAGTTCACCACGTCCTTGTTTAAGCTTCTCGTTGATTTCAAGTGGACTATTTGACCACGATAAGCCTGGAAATTAAAATCTGACTTATTTATATTCTAAATCCTGTTACTATTATACTGCAAGTTGTTGAAAGTGTTGTGCCTTTGTGTGTACATTTTTATTTCCATAAGTGGATAGAATAGAATGTAAGGATTGTAGAATCTCTGTCATGGTAAGGTTCAGCCCATTTTCTAACTCATTTTCCAGCCTGGGGTTGTTTCCCCTTTTTGCACTGGATTTCTGTCTTGCATGCTAGAATTTACCTGGGTTCTCACTGATGAATACACAACCAGTTAAGAATCTGAAAGGTGTACTAACCCTGTAAAAGTTGTATAGGCCCTAAGGTGTAGGCCTTTTGACATTTTCTGTGGTGTGTGATTTAGCCAGCCAATGAAATAATTTCTGGTCTCAGGATAGTTTTTCATCCTGCCACTAGATGTCAGGAACAATAAGAGTCAGCTTGTATCTATGTTACAGAAAAGAACCAGGCTCCAGAACTGTTTTCGTATCTTTCTCAGGACTGACATTTGTGTATTTGATAAATACTTACTGAGTACCTACTATGTGTCAGCCACAGTTTTAGACATTCAGGAAGAATCAGGACACAAAACAGACAGTAACGGACCTAACTAAGAAAAAGAGACTTTGTAGAGTTAGGAGGTGTGTGCAGGTAAAAGAGAGTTCAAGACCAGCCTGGGCAACCTAACAAGACACCATCCCTACAAATGTTTCTTTTTTTTTTTTTTTTTTTTTGAGACGGAGTCTCGCTCTGTCGCCCAGGTCGGACTGCGGACTGCAGTGGCACAATCTCGGCTCACTGCAAGCTCCGCCTCCCGGGTTCACGCCATTCTCCTGCCTCAGCCTCCCGAGTAGCTGGGACTACAGGCGCCCGCCACCGCGCCCGGCTAATTTTTTGTATTTTTAGTAGAGACGGGGTTTCACCTTGTTAGCCAGGATGGTCTCGATCTCCTGACCTCATGATCCACCCGCCTCGGCCTCCCAAAGTGCTGGGATTACAGGCGTGACCTACAAATGTTTCTTAAAAAACGTATCCAGGCGTGGTGGTGCATGCTTGTCGTTCCAGCTGCTCAGGAGGCTGAGTTGGGAGGATCACTTGAGTTTTAGAGGTCAAGGCTGCAATGAACCATGATCACACCATTGCACTACATCCTGGGTGACAGAGAAAGACCCTGTCTCAGCGACAAAGAAAAGAAACAAAATGAACGAAGGAAAGAAAGAAAGAAAAGAGAGAGAGAAAAAAAAGAAAGGAAAAGAGAGAAAAAGAAAGAAAAAGAGAGGAAGGAAGAAAGAGAAAGAAAGAAAGGAAAGAAAGAGAGAGAGAGAAAGAAGGAAAGCAAGCAAGCAAGCAAGCAAGCAAGCAAGCTTCTGGTAGGCAGCGGAGTAGGTAAAGGCAGAGAAGCTTCCTAAGGGGAATGCCAACAGGATTGGTGTGAGTTGGGGTCCTCTCTGAGGCACACAAGACACAATTCGATCTGCAAGACATTTACTGGAGGCAACACCTGTGAAGGGAAAAGGGGATGGAGCGAGAGAAGGTGGTGAAAGCGCTCAAGCCTCCGTGAAGTTCTGACCCTGTGAAATGGGGGAAGGCAGGAGCACTGGCAGTGGGGAAGAAGTGTCTTACTGTTCAGTGTAGATCTGACGTCCAGGCTGATGGGAGACACTGAGCCAACGTGGCCAGCTGAGGTATCTGTCTTTTAGGAATGGACCTACATTTGTCCTCTGCTGTGCCATCGGGAGTGTTCTGTGGATTTATGGTCCCCCTGGGAAGGAGACAGTGGATTGAGAAAGGAAGTAGCCGGTGCTGTTCCTCAATTGTGTTCGCCACTGTGGGATATCTGAGTAGTGCATTTCTTAGTGTCTTCGGAATTCGAGGAAGCTGGAGGCGGGAAAGTAGAAAGGAAAGGGACAGAAGAGCAACTACATCCGTTTCCTAGATAAACTATTGCTGGGTCCGTGAACAGTAACAGTGGCCATTCATAAAATGCTATTGATTGTTTTAATTATTTTATTTTATCTTATATATATTTTTAAAGACAGGGTCTCACTCTGTTGCCCAGGCTGGAGTGTAGTGATGCGATCATAGTTCACTATAACCTTGAACTCCTGTGCTCAAATGATTCTCCCTCTTCAGTCTCCTGAGTAGCTGGGACTACAGGTAGTTGCCACCACAGCCAGGTAATTTAGAAAAAACTTTTTAGAAACTAGGTCTCTCCATATTGCCCAGGCTGGTCTTGAATTCCTGGGCTGAAGAGATACTCCTGCCTCAGCCTTCCAAAGCACTGGGATTACAGGTGTGAGCCACCGTGCCTGGCCCTGTTTTAATTATTTTATTTACAACATTTTTTGTTATTGATCATGAGTAAATACAATTAGATATGAATTCTATATTTTTGAATAATAATTAAAACAATAAAATCAGGCAAATCAGCTGTTCCCTCTAACACCAAGCTCTGTTTTTATTAGGCATAACTTACAAAGTGTTTTGTTCCATCCTTTATAGTGTATGAAACTTTTACTAGATTTATAACAGCACAGATTGCAGTTTCTTGGTATATCTATTAATGTCATCTTCTTTTTCCTTTTAGAGGAAAAAAGAAGGAAAAAGAGAATATATGTATATATTTCACCAATATGATTATAGGAATCTTTATAGTGTATATTGGCTCAAATAAGAAGCAGGCATTTTTATCGCTGTAGCATAGTTCATCTTATATTTTATCCTTAGAGATGCTGCAAAAAATTTCAAACGATAGATTAACCACTGTTCTGATAAAATATGAAATTAAACAAGTTTATAAGCATTTTTCTACTTAGAAACTTCTATCAGTTTTAGAGATTTGGTTTAGCAGTTCCCAAAGTTCGGAATGCTTGAGTAAAACTTTCCTAAAAACAAAAGTACTGAACAAATGGGCTGAGAATCTCATGAGAAGAAACCTGTCAAGATTCTCAGTCCTTCCTACAGGGGCTCAGGGAGAAAATCCCAAAGGTAGGATTTTTATTGTTAAGGCATTGACACATTTTCTTCTTTTGAGAAACATATGAAAAATAAGAAGATATATAAAACATAATAAACTAAAGTAGGTCTATATTCAGTTAGAAAAAGAAAAAAATAGTGTCAAATGTTTAAGTTTCCATGTGACTGCCTTACAACTGTGGTAGAAGCAATATGCTCCTTAAATAGTTTTTCTTTCTTTGATTTGAACTTGCTACTTTCTTACAGTTTCACACTTTTTTTTGTCAATGAGTACATTCCTTATTGTTTTACTTTATATTTTTATTTTGATGGAACAAAGTATGTGTATATATTTATGGGGTACATGAAATACTCGCTACAGGCATACAATGCATAATAATGACATCATGGTAAATGAAGCATCCATCAGCTCAAGCATTTGTCATTTCTTTGTGTTACACACATTCCAGTTATACTCTTTTAGTTATTTTTAAATATATAATAAATTATTGTTGACTGTAATCACTTTGCTGTGCTATCAAATGCTAGACCTTATCCATTCTATCTAACTATATTTTTGTGCCCATTAATCATCCCCAGTCACCCCACCCTTCACTACCCTTCCTAGCCCCTGGTAACCATCCTTCTACTCTCTATCCCCATGAGTTCAATGGTTTTAACTTTTAGCTCCCACAAATGAATGAGAACATGTGAAGTTTGTCTTCCTATGCCTAGCTTATTTCACTTAACATAATGACCCTCTGATTCCATCCATGTTGTTGCAGATGACAGGTTTCATTCTTTCTTATGACTGAATAGTATTCCATTGTGTGTAAGTACCACGTTTTTTTATCCATTCATCTGTTGATGGGCACTTAGGTCTCTTCCAAATCTTGGCTATTGTGAATAGCGCTGCAGTAAATACAGGAGGGCACATATCTCTTGATCTACTGATTTCCTTTCCTCTGAGTATGTACCTAGCACTGGGATTGCTGGATCATATGGTAGTTCTATTTTTAGTTTTTTGAGGAACCTCCATACTATTCTCCATAGTAGCTCTACTAATTTACATTCCCACCAAGAGTGTACACAGATTCCCTTTTTTCCACATCCTGGCCAGCACTGCCTGTCTTTCTTAAATTTTTTTTTTAAAGAAATATGAATCTTGATGTTAATGTATAAAGCCACATGACTAATGATTACTGTTTCATTCAAGAAGAGGATAATTATGTGGTAATAATGATATAAACTGTAAATCCTTGCTAAAAAGATATGAATTAGTGAAAGCATGAAATATAGAAAACGAATATTTAAGGAACTAGAACAAGGCTAATATAGTGTCACCTGGCAGAGATTTCTCTGTCTGTCTGTCTCTCTCTCGTCTTAATGCACAAATAATTTGCTGCCAAAATTTGAACCCAAACAATAACAAACTCAGGTTATATTAGAAAATCAATACTTTAATTTTTAATACATGTTTAGTGATTAAAATATTTTATTCTTTTAAAACAAAAACAGATAAGCATTAAAATTATACTCCTATTCACACCCTCTATGTGCTGAGCAAACCCCCTTGCTGGTACAAGTATATTCTTCAGAACAAACCTGTCCCAAATATCTCAAAGGACAAATTCATGGGATTCAGAGAAATGTACTTTCACAGGCAGCAAAAAAAATCCTTAAGATATCATACAGGCATAGTTTGCACACTGAGAAACTTAGAGATGTATTCATAAATCTTACAGAAATTGAGGACTCAGAAAAAAGTCCATTAATAAAATTGAAACTCCCCGAAGATTTAATATTGTGAAATACACAGTGAGCAGTTCCACAGCTAACTCTGATAACTGCTTTTATGTTTCTGTTCAGTTGAGGAAAAATCCTTTCAGGAGTTCCTACCTAGTCACTTCACTTGAGGTCTTGGCTATCAAGGAAGAAAAACAATCTCTTCACCTTCATATAAATGTCTTCCGGCCGGGCGCGGTGGCTCACGCCTGTAATCCCAGCACTTTGGGAGGCCGAGGCGGGTGGATCATGAGGTCAGGAGATCGAGACCATCCTGGCTAACAAGGTGAAACCCCGTCTCTACTAAAAATACAAAAAATTAGCCGGGCGCGGTGGCGGGCGCCTGTAGTCCCAGCTACTCGGGAGGCTGAGGCAGGAGAATGGCGTGAACCCGGGAGGCGGAGCTTGCAGTGAGCCGAGATCGTGCCACTGCAGTCCGCAGTCCGGCCTGGGCGACAGAGCGAGACTCCGTCTCAAAAAAAAAAAAAAAATGTCTTCCAGTTTATCAGGATATGATCATTGATTCAGAAGTAAGTGAGTTCAACAAAGGTCATAGGAGACAAACTTCCCATGAAAAGATGAGAGAACAAGTTATTAGACCACCATGGAAATAAAATTAATTACTTCCTTTTGTTAAAGGTAGAATTATATGTTTTTAAATATAGATCATTATATAGAAGCCGTAGGAACTTAGAACTGGAGAGGGCTAACTTAGGAATGATTTAGGTTGAGATCTTCATTTTACAAAAGTGAAAATGTACTAAAGAAGGTACATCATGGGACTAAAGATCTAGTTGCAACAGAATTGAGAGATTAGGTCAATAATTATGGAGATGCCAATATATTATTGTTAGGGTTTCTAAAGAAGTCTACATCAAGTTCTGTTTTTCAGTCATTTAAAATGCTATTATTTTTGCATCGAATGGAATTTTGTTGGCACTTTTTATTATAAAAGTAATTCATGCAAGTAATTTTTTTAGTGTTATAATGTAAGAACATATAAAACATAAAGTAAAATTCTTGACCGCTACCAGTCCCCCATTCATTCCCCTAATTCCACTCTCCACAGTCCATCAGGAGTTTAAGTTTTTTGTTATCCTTGTAGCTATTGATATAATATTTCATTATATATTTGTTTTTCTTCTTAATTTAGGAAATTTAGAAGCTCTACATCTCCACTAAAAACTTTCAAGAATTTAGTTTATTAATTACACTTTCTGATGTATCAATTATTTTCTTGTTTTTTCTATTTATATTGTAGTTAATTATTCCATGGTATACCAATAGGTTGATCTAAAATGCAATAAACAGATTTTACAATTCGATGGTAATGTCATTTTTTGGGTTCTAAAACTAAATAGAATTGGACCCATCAAAAAATAAAGTGTAATCCCAAGTCTTTCAAATGGTACCACTGAAAAAAAGACATTAGCAAGCAACCCAGTAAACTATCTCTTCTATTATTTTCTTTCTAGCATCTTCTGGATCCTTCTCAACTATGCTTTTTCTTGCAAACCATATTGCCTCTTTTCTTGGAATTATGTATTATTTTAATTGGTGAATTTGAAGAGCAAATTTTTTTCATATAGGTTGAGTGGTATGGAAGCTTTCTGAATCAGTGCTCTTACACTTAATTTGATGGCTGAGCTATATACGACATTTGGGGTTCAACTCCTTTTTCTTTAGAATTTCAAAGTATGGCTTTGTTTCCTGACTTCCGCTGCTCCATTTCAGCAGCCTGCTGTCAGACTGCAGAGAGACTGATGATCTGCTTATCTTCTCCATGGACACAGATAGACTGCATTTCCCAGCCTTCCTTGCAGTTAGACATGGCCAGGAATCAATAGCAAGAGTGATAGCTTCCATTTAGGGGACACATTTTGTTTTGCTTTGTTAGGTTTTTTGTATAAATTCAAGAGGGTACAAGTGTAACTTTGTTGCATGGATATATTGCACAGTGGTGAAGCCAGAGCTTTCAGTGTATTCATCATCTGAATAATGGACATTGTCTCCACTATGTAATTTCTGATCATCCGCCCCTCCTACCCCTACCCTTCCTAGTCTCCACTGTCCATCATTCCACATGCTACGGCCATATGTACACATTAATGAGCTCCCACTTAGAAGTGAGAATATGCAGTCTGTCTATTTCTGAGTTGTTCCACTTAAAATAATGGCCTCCAGTTCCGTCCATGTTGCTGCAAAAGATATGATTTCATTCTTTTTTATAGCTGAATAGTATTCCATTGTGTATATATACACATTCTCTTCATCCAGTCATCCACTGATGAGCACTTAGGTTGATTCCATTTCTTTGCTGTCCTGAACTGTGCAGATGTCTTTTTGCTCTAATGATTTCTTTACGTTTGAGTAGATACCCAGTAGTGGGATTGCTGGATCATGTGGTTCTATTTCTAGTCCCTTGGGAAACCTCCACGCTGTGCTCCATAGAGGCTGTACTAATTTACATTCCACCAGCAGTGTGGAAGGAAGGACGCAGAGAAAAGGGCTAAGGCTTCTATGAGGCAACTATGGTCCCCCCACACATTCTTTCCACAGACAGCAGAACCACAGGAAGGAAGGACCTGGGTGTTGAATGCGTATGTAAGGGAAAGTCACCCACAGAAAACTGTTTTAAACTATTAAGCGCCTGAGGAAGAAACATCTAATTATAAGTCTTACCTATATCTCTTATAGCAGCTACCACTCTTTTCCTTTCCGGATTTTTCTTTTTCTTTTCTTTCTTTTCTTTTTTTTTTTTTTTTTTTGAGACGGAGTTCCACTCTTATTGCCCAGGCTGGAGTGCAATGGCACGACCTCGGCTCACCGCAACCTCTGCCTCCCGGGTTCAAGCGATTCTCCTGCCTCAGCCTCCCAAGTAGCTGGGATTACAGGCATGTGCCACCACACCCGGCTAATATTATATATATTATATATATAATATATATATAATATATGTAATATGCAATATATATTTTATTATATAATAATAAATTATATATTATATATAAATAATATATAATATATAATATATATTTTATTATTATATAATAATAAATTATGTGTAATAATATAATATATAATTAATATATATATAAATAATATATATTATATTATATTATATATTATATATATTATATATATATATTTTTTTTTTAAGTAGAGATGGGGTTTCTCCATGTTGGTCAGGCTGGTCTCAAACTCCTGACCTCAGGTGATCCACCCTTCTCGGCCTCCCAAAGTGCCGGGATTACAGGCGTGAGCCACCGCACCCGGCCCCTCTCTGGATTTTTCTTAAGGATTTTCTCTTTGTCCTTGGAGTTCTGAAATTCCACTAAGAAGTCTAGGTTTGAGAATTTTTCATGCATTCTGATCAGAACCTTTCATGGATTCTGATCAGTTCTCTCACTGTAAATACTCAAAGGGGGCATTTCTGCTATTCCTTCTCTACATACTCTTTCCCAACATTATCTCTGCTCACTCCTCCTAGAACTCCTATGAGATAGACGTTGAACTTCTTGAAACTTGTCTCCATCCCTATACACTTTGCTCTAATATCCTATGCCACTCTGGGTTTTTTGCTGTATTGATGATACACTGACTGCCTCAACTTTTTCTTCAAGATGCCCAAGACTGTTTACATTTTATTACATGCTCTATCCATTTTGGTGGGGGTGAAGGATTGTGACCATATTTTTAATACATGAGAGTTCTTTCTTTCTACTCTGCTCTTTTTTTTAATACCAATGTGATCTAATTTTTGATATATGTAGTCTCCTCTGGAAACTGTTTAAGAATTCTAACTTTTTAAAATTGTCTCTTTTGTCCCCAGAAATTTGTTTTTCTCTTTTTCTACCCTCCACCCTTTCAGTTTTCCTCCAGTCTGTCAATCCTTCAGTCCGTCCATCCTCCATTGCTCTTTCATGTTGATGAGCAAGTCCTTTGGAGTTCTTCACAGCCCCCACGTCTACTTACCCCACAGGCCAGTGCACTAAACTGTGGCCAGGGACCCTCCAGCTCCCTGGAAGTGGCTGGATCAGGCCCATGAACCAGAGGTTTCTGTGCTGGGAAGGTGAGCAGGGAACAAGTGGAAGGGTCAAGGACTCCGTCAATAGTTAAAGAAAGCCTTTCTCTGGGGATTGAGCTCTGTGGGGAAGATGTCTTTCCTTTTCTTTGTTTGTTTTCCCTCTTGGCCCAGTGTGGAAGTCCAGCTTTGTCTGGAGGTCTGCACTGCTTCTCCCTGGACTCCCAAGCCCTCTGATTAGGCCTCCTCGCCAAGCAGCCCTTTCTCCCTGCTCCCTGAGAGAAGAGTCTCTAGGCTTAACTGACAGCAAAAGAGGCAGCTTTCAGCCCTGGCAAGAGACGGAGGAATAGCGGCCAGGGTCTGGCTTCTCTGACGTGAGCCCATGGTTATCCCGAAAGCTTCTGTCCACTGCCCGCTGCGGAGAGGCACTGCTCAGCAGCAGGGAAGGGCCAGAGGCTGCCAGTGCTGAGATCGGACTCTGCCACTGACCAGGGATGTCACCTCCTGCAAGGTCCTCATCTCTCTGTACTTCAGACTTTGCCACTCTATAGTGCATAATCTCAGCATCTCCATCAAAGGACTGCAGTGAGGAGAAGTTTCTTCTCAGGCCTCTTCCCTTGGCTGCAGATGGCCACCTCCCCTCTGCATCCTCCTGTGGTCATCTCTGCCTGTGAATGTCTGTGTCCTAATCTCTTCTTCTTATAAGGACACCAGTTATGTTGGATTAACTCATTATGCCTCATTTTACCGTATTCACCTCTTCAAGGGCCCTATCTCCAAATACAGTCACATTCCGAGGTACTAGGGGCTAGAATTTCAATACAAACATTTTTGGTAGGTGGGGAAGGGGGCACGATTCAGCCCCTCACACATGCAAACCGCTGGAAAAGCCTCTGCACATAGCCAGCTTCCTGTCAGTGTGAGACAGCGCTCATGAGAAAAGCAGGCTCCCCTCTCCCATCCCTGCCTGGGCTTCCTGATCACAGGATTTCTCTGTCCTTGGCTCCCTGCAGTCATTTGCTCCACATGGAAGTCTCAGGAAGAAGCGGACTCTGGCCAAGTCCAGGTCAGGCTCCTGCTCACCAGAGGCTGCAGGAGAGGAAAATAAGCATCAGTTGTGAGAAACTGAGCCCACCCCACTGTGACCGCCCACATCAGGGTGCCCTCACCCCTCACATGGAAACAGACTCACATGAGAGACACCTCCTAACCACTCCCCCCACATCTACTCTGACTCGTTTGCAAACTGTTCTGTCCATTGCCACCAGAGCGATCTTTTAAAAATACCTAGCTCGAATTTTGTAATTTAAGAAATCCTAGGAAAAACATTCTACTTTTTCCCATAATATTCCTTGATACACTATCTCTTCTGAGAAAATTCTGGAAAGTGTATTCTTTATGGATTTAAGCAGGCAGGCAATAGGATGGGAAGGTTGATTGGATTCCATCTTAAGTTCTAAAGAAACTATGATGAGTTATGGGTTTCTTAGTGAATCTTTTATAACTATACCAAATTGGTCACTTTGAATTTTGAAATGTAAATTATCTCCAAATCGTCACAGTAACTTTCAACTCGGCATCTTTTTTCAGAAATGCACAGATGGCCAGAATAATGGTAGCCTTCAGATTTAAGAAGTGTTTGAGGCTGAGGGGAATTCCTAAGCCAGAATTTCTGAGTAGCTTTTTCCTATAGACCACCTCCAGGAAGAAGAGACTAGGTTCATCAAGAGTAGAAAAGTTTTCTTCCTTCATAGTAAACCTACCCACCTGGGCTAAGTTCAAGGTGCCCAGGACCATCCCCATGTTTGGGAGACTGCCACTATGGTTCTCTAGGAGAAGTACCTACAATTTTATTTTATTTTATTTTATTTTATTTTATTTTATTTTATTTTATTTTATTTTATTTTATTTTATTTTATTTATTTTTTGAGATGGAGCTTCGCTCTTCTTGCCCAGGCTGGAGTGCAGTGGCGCGATCTCAACTCACCGCAACCTCCCCTTCCTGGGTTCAAGCAATTCTCCTGCCTCAGCCTCCTGAGTAACTGGGATTACAGGCATGTGCCACCATGCCTGGCTAATTTTTGTATTTTTAGTAGAGACAGGGTTTCTCCATGTTGCTCAGGCTGGGCTTGAACTCCCAACCTCAGGTGACCCACCAGCCTCGGCCTCCCAACATTCTGGGATTACAAACGTGAGCCACCGTGCACAGCCAAGAAGTACCTACAAAATTAAAGGGAGCACACGGTGGTGGCTTCCCCCGACTGAGAGGCTCCTGGGCATATGCAGATCTTCTCCATCTGCCACCCCAACCCATTTGTGGAGCCCAGCAGCTCCTCTCCACATGAAACTGCAGGGAGAGAGTGGGGAGTCTCTGTGCAAAGTATTACTGTCTCGCAGATGATGGCTGTAAATAATAAGTGATGTTTTGAAAATAAGATAACCCCCATCAACAGCTCAGATAGCAGAAGTGGGGCCCCCAGCACCTGACTATGCTTAAGAAGATCACACTGCTTTTTTTCTAGGACGAAGGAGAAACGAGGGAGTCCCAGACCCCCCTGAGAGGAGAGATCGTACAGTAATGAGAGACAGAGAAAGAGAGAGAGAGGAGAGAGATGCTTCATGTTCATCACTTTGCCTAGGGTTAGCCCCATGGAGTATCAGCATAAATCTGGCTCAGAATTCATCCAGGCAGGAAATGACCCAGACTTGGTGGCCTGTCTTCATAAACTCTAGATTCCTACTGAAGTTGGTGGTGCCTGTAGGTTCAGAATTGCTCAGTCAAGAAATGAGGAGAGGAGGTTTTGCCAAGTAGGACATCAGGGGACAGAAAATGTATGTGTGGTTTGGTTGCACACAACACAGAAAACTATCCAAGGAGCCAAGTTGCCTTGTATTTTTTCTGTTTTCCTTGAAAGCCCAGGGCATACAACCAGGGACAGATCATTTTTCCCCATGCTTCTCAGCTCAAGGCAAACAGCAAAAATGGCATACATAGCAAAGAAAGGCAAGTGCAGCCCCAGGAAAATAACTGGAAAAACAAGGAGCTATCAGTGAGGGGAAAAAAAACAGTTCGAATGGGTGCAGTGAGTCACGCCTGTAATCCCAGCACTTTGGGAGGCCGAGGCTGGTGGATCGCTTGAGCTCAGGAGTTTGAGACCAGCCCGGCCAACATGGTGAAGCCCCATCTCTGTGAAAAATACAGAAATTACTCTGGTGTGGTGGTGCACGCCTGTAATCCCAGCTACTCGGGAGGCTGAGGCAGAAGAATCACTTGAACCTGGGAGGCGGAGCTTGCAGTGAGCCGAGATAGTGCCACTGCCCTCCAGCCTGGGCGACAGAGAGAGACTCCATCTCAAAAACAAAACAAAACAAAACAAAACAAACACCCACAGTTTGTTCTTCAAATATCCCGGTTTTCCTACTATCTTGCATTTAGCAGTCTTTTGTAAGACATACCATAGAAGACCAAAGAAGACCAAACTTTTCCCCCTTTCAAACTCTCAAAATACCATTGCATTTATTAAAAATTTAACAAAACAATTCATTGGCTCCTCAGTAGAACCTGTGGAAAAATACTATACCTGTTATTCTGTGCGGTGAACTTCTTCCTCCAGGTTTCCCTCTTTCAAAGTTCCGCTTTACTTTTTTTTTTTTTTTTTAATTTGCGACGGAGTCTCCCTCTATTGCCCAGGCTGGAGTGCAGTGGTGCCATCTCGGCTCACTGCAACCTCCGCCTCCTGGAGTCAAGAGATTCTCCTGCCTCAGCCTCCTGAGTAGCTGGGATTACAGGCGCCCACCGCCATGCCCAGCTAATTTTTGTATTTTTAGTAGAGATTGAGTTTCGCCATGTTACCCAGGCTGGTCTTGAATTCCCAACCTCAGGCGATCTGCCTGCCTCGGCCTCCCAAAGTGCTGGGATTACAGGCATGAGACACTGTGCCTGGCCCCGCCTTACATTTACTTCTGTCAAGCAGTTAATTCTCAATGAGCACAAGCTCATATTGTAAGCACATATGTTTGCTTTCGGGATAAAGTTGTTAATGCCTAAATGTATTCATTGTTCCTGGTTTCACCAGCTCATGATGGCAGGTACTATAATGTTTTCCAAGTCCTGGTGACTGTTTTGCTTTGCATAGGGCACGGGCCTGTCTCTCACATTCACAGCTGTTGTGCATGCTTTGCATTGAGAAAAAGAAAAAGGAGCAGGGAGAGAAAAAAAAAATCATTTGTGATGGGTGTGTGAACAAGTGCTAGCTCATCCTCTCCCACTCTGTCTCTGGAATGAATCTGAATTGCCTGATACTGATGTACCTTCCTAAAATGAACCAGAGGCCCAGGCAGGTGCAGTTGGGCTGAGTTAATCAAGACGAATTTGCTATGACTTTAAACCAAACAAACAGTCTCCCACGGTCTGGGAAGTAGTGGTGGCGGGCGCCTGTAATCCCAGCTACTCGGGAGGCTGGGGCAGGAGAATCGCTTGAAGCTGGGAGGCGGAGGTTGCAGGGAGCCGAGATAGTGCCACTGCACTCCAGCCTGGGCAACAGAGTGAGACTCCCATCTCAAAAAACAAAGCAAAACAAATCAAAAAAAAAAAAAAAAAGAAAGAAAGAAAAGAAAAGAAAACTCCTTTGCGGTTAGTGAGAAAGAAACTGAGAATAGCAGCCCAGGGTCATGGAGCCGCCAGGCTGCACAAGGACTGCCCCCTACTGGTAGCCAAGGTGCTCCATCTGAAAAGGAAAGCGGCCATCTTGTTAGTGAGGTCATTGGATGTAAGGTAGGAAGGATGTTGTTCAGTCACCTTTGAAGAAATTTATGTGGTCTGAGCAAAAACTACTTATTCTAGACATGCTTATTTCTCAAGAGATATGAACTACATTATTATGCATGTAGCATTACTGCATATATATAAATGGACCTACCCACACACATGTGCATGCACACACACACATCTTTGGGCAGATATTCAAGAAATAGTCCCTGGGCAGTGGGACTAGGGGAAGAGGTAGAAAATATTTATTTTTTGTTTTATACCCTTCTGTAGTATTTTTTTTTTTTTTTACTTTGGGCAGGTATCAACTTTGTAATTAATAAAAGGAAAGCAGTAATAGCCACGAGATTTCCCTTCTAATATCCATATACTTTAAAACGATCTGTGTGATCAGAGTGGTATAATATCAGAATATTCTAGGCAAAGTTCCACCAGGCCATATTACAAACCATGTTTTTGAGGGAGCTGGCTATGATTTGTGTGGGCAACATGGATGTTTTGCTAATTGCTTTTCCACATCATCTCTGCTAGGCAGTAAAATATAGATAGGGTGACCAACTTTCCATTTTATACCTCTCATCCGGATACTTTTCATGCTCAAAAATGTCCTGGACAATAAATTGTATATCCACCCTAATTATAGGCAGCTATATGGATTGTTCATTTAAACCGCCCTTGAAAATAACACTTTAGGTTAAAAAACGTGGGGGCGTGCCACCTCCTAGTCACTGTGATAAGTACTTCATATAGATTATTTAACTTAATCTCATAATGGCTTTTTGAGGTTGGTGAAATTATACTAATAACAAATAAATTGAGATTTGATAACTTGCCCATGATTTTGACTGTGTTACCTGCTGATTTCAGAAGTTTGGTCATACTATGTTATTAACTGTGTCTGTCCTTTCGAAACGTTCAGACACACACAAACTCCTAATGTCTATGTAATTCTAATAATATCCTCCTACCTCTAAGATAGACTTAATACAGATTTTAGAATCAAATTTTGTTCTTGTTTTCAACTCAAAATCCATTTCCTCCAGGACACCTTCCTTGTCTTCTTAGCTAGATCAATTTCTCTTGTTACATACTCTCATAGCCCCTTTCAAAGCAGTTATCCATGTATAAAGATTTAGTTGATTAAGATCTGTATTCCCAATCTTCTAAGCTTCTTGCAGGCAGTGAGCACTCCTGTTTGCCTTTCAATATTTCTCCAGCACCAAGCATATTACATGAGTAGCACTGACATATTCATAGTCACTCAATGAGTATTTGTTGGAAGAATTAAAAGCAATATCTTGCCTGAAAGCCAGAAGAGGGGTTCTAGTATCTCACATGTAAACCAAAGGATCCAGCTATAAAAGAGGTGGGGAAAGAAGAGAGTGGCCCTTCTTTCCCTCAGAGGCTCAAATTCTATGCTAACAAACAGAATACCTCAGGTTTTCGGAAACGGGTATAAACTGCTGTGTATTGAGATCTAACTTCTGAGGAAGTCTCAGTGACCTAATTTCATTTAGTCCTCTTACCTAACTGTCCAGAGTGGCCTCCACCAAGCTTCTTCTGTATTCCTTAATCCTACTACCAACATTCCACCTTGATGGTAATGCTTCAGCTATATCATAACTTTTTAATATTTTCCTAAGTGTGTGGTTTAGGAATGACATAAACTAAACACCTTCATTGGTTAGAATTTTCTTCTCCTTTAAAATATCCAACTAAAATGTTTTAAGTTAATGCAGAAAACTTGACATTTCTTCTACGGTCCTACCCCTAAGTTAAAGAACTCTCAATAGGTGCTAGGCTACCCCAGGACTCAAACTTTCATCCAAATTTCTGTTCCTCTAACAATTTTCATCCTATAGGTTTTGAAATAAAAGTTTGCCGAAGTTCTTTTTAAAATTACAATTGCACCTCATTGTTTCATTAGTAACAATAGCAACATGCACGAACATGGGTGCCTAATGAACATTTTTCCTTTGGACACAGCTAGCTATATATTTAGCAGCAGAAAGCAAAGGCATAAATAATAGGTCGCTTTTGGCACTGTTATTAGATTTGATTAATCTGTCGGGATGCGGTAAAGCTAAGGAGGATGAATGTCCATATAGTTGAATTGAGGAAGCGATGCAACATAAACGTATCCAGTGGCAAAAAAAAAAAAAAAAATCCTCCTTTTTTCAATCATCCAATTACTTACCCAAACAAAGATTTCCTGTACATATGATGCGATCACTAACTGCCTTTGTGACTTTTCCTTGTAGGTAAGAAAAGTGCAGAACTTGGCAACTAAACATGCATATTTCAACTAAAAAAAAAATTACTTTAGGAGCCATGGAGCACCTTGTACTTGATTCACAGATGGACCGATTTTTTAAAAATCATTATAATTTACAGTTCTCAACAATATGAGACCACATTAAGTATGCAGAGAAAACAAATGCAGCCTCTGAATTTAATCCTAGTCTGCGTTATCTCTTACGTGTTGTTCTTATTTGTATATCGCAGCCTGAAGCTTTTGACATTGTACATTCATCGGTCAGGAAAAATGTTTGGAGGAAAGGGATCAGAAAGACCAACAAGAAAATTCACTGAACTACTGAGACTTGTAGGTTGATTTAAGTAGTGAGAAAACTGTATTTTAAATGTGATGATATACTAAAAAATGAGACTATTTAGCATTGTACTTTCCCTCCGGCAAGGCAAAAGGGCACTTGGTCTCGTGTTTTCATTTCTTTTCTTTTTAAAATTATTATTTAAGCAGGACAAAAATAATGTAATGCAGAAAAAATGTCATTAACTCTAGAAAACTAAATAGCAAATGAGGCCATTTCAATCACATGCCTAAGATTCTTTTAATCAAGCATTTGTTGTCAGCAGGACCATATATTTGGCCTCTATAATCGACTCTCAACCAAAAAGTGAAAGAAACCTTTATTTCACTTCTTTATATATTCTGCTTCCTCCATATACTTTTCTTCCTATTAATTTAAACAGGAGGGTCCCATAGCTTGGATTTCTTTCAGTGAGGTTTTCTATGTCCAGTTTTGTCACTGCTTTGGCTGAAATCCACAGAGGCTAGGGGACCTGCATCAGGTAGCCTAGAGCGTTGGAGGCTCAGTAATAATTCTAATTCAAGAAAACCGTGGCTTCCAGCTTTTGCTTTAATCATTAGAATGTAGGGTTCAGAGGTAGAACTTACCAAAAAAACTTTAAAGTAATTATTTCTTTGCATTTAACTAGGTGGGATGGAGGGAAGGGGAAGACTTGAACTCACTTCCTACCCCACTCTGGCCAAAGTTTCCATCTGATATCTCAGCCTTGAAGATGAATGGATGTTTGAAAGATTTCCCTGACAGGCAGATGTCTATGGTATGTGTCGGTTCTCACGCAGCTAATGATCACGAAATATAGTGGAACATCCTTAGCATTTGAAGGAACGTCTTCAGAGACCTGAGGAAATCCCCAGACCTGAATTCCACAGGTTCTGATCCTGGTAGCTTCCTTCTCTGTAAAATAGGAATAATAAGAACACGTACTTCACATAACTGTTATGAGGACTCAACTAGACAATGAGTCCAAGGAAAGCAGAGGAGCTATGGGAAGAGACGACGACCAGGCAATCTGCGAAAATGGGGGTCTCTCTAAAACTGTCTCCATTCAAATCCCAGTTCAAGTGGTGGAGTTCCCTTAAAAACAAAACCAAAGGGCCAGGTGCGGTGGCTCACACCTGTAATCCCAGCACTTTGGGAGGCTGAGGCGGGTGGATCACGAGGTCGGGAGTTCAAGACCAGCCTGGCCAACACGATGAAACCCTGTCTCTAGCAAAAACACAGAAATTAGCCAGGCGTGGTGGCACACTCTTGTGGTCCTAGCTACTCGGGAGGCCAAGGCAGGAGAATCTCCTGAACCTGGGAGGCAGAGGTTGCGGTGAGCTGAGATCGCACCACTGCACTCCAGCCTGGGCAACAGATTGAGACTCTGTCTCAAAAACAAAACAAAACAAACAAACAAACAAACAAACAAAAACAAAAGAAGCAGATCATTATTTTTTTCTTAAAAGAAATTTCTTAACAAAGAATATTATGTTAGGCTGTTATTGGTCAATAACACGTTAATCAGCTCAACCCAAGTACACTTTTCTTTATTCTTCTTATCTGCACTCACTAAAATAAGTGAAAACTACCTTCTCCACCATTTCTACTGTATTTGGTCAGTCTTCCTCCTGTTTAACCAACAAACCATACTTTTTTACCTAATAAAATATGTCTAGGCCAATGTATTTAACATTAAATTCTCTTTTTATTTCTGAAGTCTTTCTATACTCCCGCACTCTCTCCTTATTCCTAGAGCTGAGGAAAAACAGACCCTTCCCAATTTAACAAATTCAGCCATCATTCATTCAGTGCCAGGCATGATGCTCAGGGCTGGGCACCTTTTAGCCATTGAATCAATCATCTCCCATTCACCTTGCCAAGGCCTCTGTCTTCATGGGCTCTGTACCTGCTGAAGCCACTCCTATCCTGGAAGAAGACCCGCACTATCCTCTCTTTCTCTTTGGTGCCAAGTCCAGAAAATGAAGCCTCCATTTGCCGTCTCTTATCTTTCATCAGTGAGTACAACTAATACTTCATAGCACTACCTTAGCGCCTGATATTTCAGCCTAAAACCCACGTATGATGTTGGTACAATCCCCGTTTTACAGATGAAGAAACCAGGGCAAAGAAGTTGAGTGATGTGGCCAAGCATGACCACCAGTAACGGAAGAAATAAGGATTCAGTGGGCCATTTGGGACCCCACTGTTAACCAGAAGCTCTACTGCCCTCAAATACTAAGTTGAATGTTGAGGATTTCTTCAATCTGGGCACCTCGCTTTGTTTCCACCTTGTTTCAATTACATCAGTAACTTCAACATAGCTTCCTAATCTGAGAGTGAGGAGAGAGTGATCCTAAATAGCATTCATTCTTCTAACACCTACCTTCATCTTTGTTATATTATGAGTACTATTTGAACCCTTGCATTCTGGGGAAGTTGGAAGGACTCACTCTGGGACCTGCAGCCATGACTTTCAGTGACAGGGGTAAGGAGCAGTTCTTAGCCGTCCTGAGATGGAAAGAAGGGGTGGGGACGTTGATTGTGGGGGGCAGGAAAGCAAACTGCAGGGTGGAAGTGAGCCGCCATCTGCACCTGGTCACGGGAAAGCAGGGAGCATCCACTCAGGCAGGGGCATGCGCTTTTTAGAGGAGCATGCCAGACATGCCAAGTTGCCCAGTGGCCCACTCTTTTGAAGCCAGCAGGAACAGGGGAGCGGCCTCTGCTCGCAGTCCCGCAAGAATGCCCTGCGGTGTACTGTGAACAGAACACACCAGGAAGGCAATCCTTCTCCGCACATCAAACATCTGAAGTTCACATTCCCTAGGAAGGGATACTCTTTAAGCTGTATTTCCTAACATTTAATTATCTCTGAATCCTTTTGAAAGGATTCGTTGACACCTAAAAGAACCTTGAGAATAAAAACTTACACTAGTCTTGGCTACTCAGGAGACATCTCTGGCTGGAGAAAAGATGACACCAGAGAGCAGGGGAAAAAAGTGAGCTTTGTTCAGAATATTGTCATTATCACCCCGAATCTAATGTCGAGGAAGGTGGTCAACCACTGTCATAGGGAAGGATAGAGATTCCAATTGGGATCTGTAGTACACGTAGTTCAGGAATGAAAGCCCTAGAGCCTTAACCAAAACTGTGACTATGAAGCTGCTTTGAGAAATAACTATGGGATATTAATAGCTAGATTTAACAGTTTGTTGAATTTTGTGTTGTAAATAGAGAAGAGAGGGAGTAAAAGAAACGTAGAAGAAAAAGTAGATCATGGAACTACAAATACAAGGAAACTGCATTCCTTCAGAAGCAAAATTAGCCTATTTTGATTAGTTTAATTTCCAAATGTCTGTAGGGTATTATTCAGTAGACCATATCCTGTGGAAAGAATTATAGACTTATAAAGAGGGTGAGAGGTCAGGGATGGAGATGTCAACCCCATAGAGAGGATAATTGAATCATGTGTCTCATTGAAAAATTGTTTAGGTCTCCAGTTCTAGCGGCTATGAGAGTTAAAATTATCCTCCTTATTCCACTCAGTGTATTTCATTATTTAGACATCATATATTAGACATAAGGAAGAGCGCCTTGAGTGTAAGAGTGATTAAACACTGAAACAGACTCTACCAAAGGAGCTTGTGAAATTACCGACTCTAGAACATTTTAAAAATAGAGGCAACCATCTGTCTTAAATGATTTTGGTGGTAATTTGTCTTGGAAAAGGAGACTGGACAAAATAAATTTGATCAGGGAATTTTAGGTAAATAATTTTCTGAACATTTTTCTAATCTGGTGGCCTCATGTAAACACATACGTTTTTATTTTTATCATGAACTGTTCTGACTCTATGTCGTTTTTGTGACTTTGGTTTATAAATTACTGAAGGGCTAGTCCTTGCAGAAATTGTTATATCCCTTATGCTATGTTTAATATTATTGCTCAATATTTGGTTTCTTTAGGGAGAACATTGAATGCTATGTACAATATACACACTTTAAGGAAGATTTAAAACAATTGTGGTTCAAAACATGGTAAGGTAAACACTTAGATTGGAGAGATTAAACTAAAAATGTAAAAAGGAAGGAAAGACTATAATGTTTAGGGGGGGCAAAATTTTACCTCTACACTTTTAGGAATTTTTGGCTGGACCTGAGAATTAAACTGACACAAGACAGATCAACAGAAGAAAAGCATACAAATGTATGTAATGCAGGTTTCACACAGGAGCCTTCATAAGGAAATGAAGACCCACAGATGCAGTTAGAGCTGATCACTTATGTACTGAATCCAACAAAAGTAAGTTGTGAAAAAAGCAACCAAATTATGTGGGAGACTAGATGATGGGTGATTTTAATAAAGACCGTACGTGATTCTCTCAGCCTCAACTTCCTGTTTCTGATGACAGAAGGGTTACTTTCCTTCTAGTATCGAGAGGACATCTCTCACATGGAAATGTTATCTCCTGCTTTTACGAAACAGAAGGGAGGTCAGCCTGATCTACTTGCCCCTCCCACTTCTCAACTGCTTTTGACTCAAAATAGTCAGTTTGCAAGAGTCACATATTTGAGGGTGCCTCTTCTCAAATCCTGCAAATGTTATAAATAAGAAAGAGGTAGTGAGCAAGTATAAAACTAACTTTGAAGTATAAAGAGATCATTTTTATTCGTACCCACAAGTCCTTTTATTCAACCCTTCTTTCTTTCACAATTGTTGACCAAGAAACCATGTACATAAGAAACAATGCCAAGTAGAATGGAGAAGGTTGTACCACTCCATGACCTCATCAAGGGCCTTATATCCCCCAACACAGGCTCCTGGGAAAAAGCATCAGTGGAAAATTCAGCTGCAGCCAAGAAGCTCGAAGGAAATTTCTACTTTCTTTTTTCTCCCCATACTCTAAGGCTCTCGGCTATTCCAGATGGAGAAAACAAACTCCTGTCCGATTTACCTACCCAGTCACAGATGGTCATCTTGGAACAGAAAGTGAATAGCAGGTCTGTGCCAAGAGCCAGGCCTACCCTGTCTTGGGGAGCTCCTTACCGAGGAAGGGTCAAGAAAGGACAGCTAGGGGCACCATCCTTTAGCATACTGGGAGCCTTCCCACTAGTAAAATGCAATTTAATAAATGTTTTGGTCTCTGACCAATGAGATTAACAGCTCCTTATCCTTTAGGAGGAGCCAGTGAAGAAGACACAGAAAACAATAGAGGAATTGCCTTCCCAACAGATGAGAACATAAAAGTCTACAGCACAGATACTTAAGCAAGGAGTTCACAGAGAAATTTCAGATATTTGAACTGGATTTCCAAGGAAGCATTTCTTTGATTTCTTTCTTATATGTTAAAGATTATTTATGTGGGGTGAAAACAACAAAACAGCATCAATAATAAAAATTAACCAGGTTCAATTTTATTATGAAGAAATAGTTTTACACCTAACATGGATAGAGATGGATATGATAGGAATACACTATTGTTACCATGCTATGATGTCTAAAACATTTTTTGATATAAATAATCTCCTTACTTATATTGATATTATTCTTTGTTTACATCAAGCCTGATTACACAGGGCAATGTCAAGGAAAAACAAATACAATGAGTCTTATGCAACCTTTGGTTAATCTGCATTGACAAACATGTTGGAACACCAAAGGTTCAATATGGCCTGTTGACCAAGATTCTTGCAAATCAAAACATGAAACTAAAACCAATACTACAATGCTTCCTCTATTCACATATCAGAATGTCTAAAATTTAAAGACTCACCATACCAAGTGTTGGCAAGAATGTGGAATAACTGAAACTCACACACATGACTGATGGGAATGTAAAAATAGTATGTGCACTTTGGAAGATAGTTTGGAAGTTTATTAAAAATTGAAAATATACCAAGTCTATGACCCATCCATTCAACTCTTAGGAATTTACTTCAAAAAAATGAAAGCCAGTGTCCATGCAAAGACTTGTACGTGAATGTTCATAGCAGTTTTTTATAATAGCCCAAAACTGGAAACAACCCAAATGTCCATCAGTAAATGAATGGATAAACAAATTGTGTTGTTCAAGCATACTATAGCAGGGGTCTCCAACACCCAAGCTATGGACTGGTACCACACAGCAAATACCCAAGTCAGGAATTGGGCCACACAACAGGAGGTGAACAGCAGTTGAGCGCACATCACTGCCTGAGCTCCGCCTCCCATCATTTCAGCCGGGGCATTACATTCTCATAGGAGCACGAGCCCTATTGCAGACTGCACATGCAAGGGATCCAGGTTGCACACTCAATATGATAATCTAAGGCCTGATGAAACCACCACTGCCACCACCACCCCCTACTCCTGTCTGTGGAAAAATTGTCTGCCACGAAACCAGTCCTTGGTGCCAAAAAGGTTGGAGACTGCTGCAGTGTAGAATGCTACACAGCAATACACAGAAATGACTTATTGAAACCCACAACAACGTGGATGAATCTCAAAATAGCTATGCTGAGTGAAAAAAGCCAGAAAAAAAAAAAGAGTCCATACTCTATGATTTCATTTGTATTAAGATCTGGGAAATGAAAACTAATCTTCAGTGACAGGAAGCAGATTAGCGGTTGCCTAGGAAGAGCGACTGCAAAGGATAAGAGGAGGAATTACAAAGCGCCCAGGAAACTTTTGCAGGTGGTGGATATGTTCACTATCTTGACTGTGGTCATGGTTGCGTGGGTGCATACATAATGTCAATTTGCCGATTATATGCTTTTAAAATGTGCCATTTCTTATGTGTCCATTATACCTCAATAAAGCTGTTTAAACACAAACACACACACACACACACACAGAGCTGAGAAGGCCCCTTCTATCTGCTCCTCCTCAAATACAACAGACCATATGGCTCTTTTTTTTTTTTTTTTTTAAATCAAGATGACTAAGTTTAAAGAGGCTGGAATGTACCCACAATTTACTTTGCCTGGTCACAAAAGCCTAGACTTGAGAAGCTGTGCAAGGATGCTTGACAGAGGACCGGTCGCGAAGCCCATGACTGAACAACAGGAAGGAGTCCTGTTTGTTTTCAGAAAGAAACAAGCCCATTCTCAGAACCATGTGACAGGAAGGAGTTTGTTCCTGACTTGGGGTTTGGCTGGTATTTTCAGCTAAAAGAACGAAGTAAAACTTTTGAGTCAAGTCTCTGAAGTTACTATTTTGGAGACTGCTGAAAATCTCTCTTTTTTTTTTTTTTTTGGTCTCGGTTGCCTCTCTGGAAGGAAAGATTGGAAGTGGAGAAGCAAACTTTTCAATGTGGAGGAAACATTTCTGGAGGCTGGTGTCAAGAGTAACTCAGCCTTTCAATTTCTCAGCAGGCAGAAATCTGCAGAACTTTTCTGAAGGTTACTTCTGCTCAGAAGGCTTTAAAATTGAAAAGCAGAATTGTAATCCTTTTGCTGTTAACACAGATGGTCTCAATGATTCAAGCCTTACCACAATGTCTTCTTTGAGTTGAACACAAAAGAAATTATGGGATAGGATTCTGGTGCTCCTTGACAAACCTCCTCCTCATATGACAAAGCAAGCCATGGGAGTTTGATTTCGGTTTGCTTCTGCCTTCCTTTGTAGGTACAGGTTTTCTTCACTTCTTGAAGCCCAAATCTTCCATCAGTTGGCTTTCAAAGATTGTTTACACATTTCCAGTTATGCCACAATCACTTCTTATACAAACCAAACCATAATCCTCTTCATTAAAAGTTGCTTTGAGCAGAATTAAAGCTTATTTTGTTTTAGTTGCAGAGTTTGGAGGCATTTCTATTTTACGATTAGGAAGTGATCATTATGAAAATCAAGAATGAACGTGCCTGGACGCTTCCTAGGTTTTTATAAACTGGCCATGTGCTGGAAATGAACGTGGAGTGAAAGGAAATTAAGCTGTGGGAAATATTTGCATATACACTTTTGTGTATTTTTTAGAGGTCTCTAGCCTCCATCAGCTTTCTAGAGACACTTGGTCCAAAATAGTTTAAGAGCTGCCGGTCTAAGGCAACGCTGCTTTGTTAGGAAAAGTTGATAAGTACAGTTGTACATATGGTACTCCTGAAATGATGGCCAGATCTTGCAATGGAAACCAGTAGTACATGGCACTGGATAAAAGAAATTTAAGCATTAACATCACAAAAATTTTTTGTTAGTATACATATTTTTAAACTATTGAAAATCAGAAGAAACAGTACTTTGCTGCTACTGTATATTTTAATTTTGTTTCATTTTGAATTACATAGATGGGAAGGAGACCATAAGCTTTTCTTAGTCCAGCCTTGCCAGCAGGCCATCAGATCATGTGAAAGCTGGGAGACAGATTAAGATTCAGGTGGTATATATTGATGTGACAGTTGGAGGTATGGAAAATATGATTAACAGTAACTAATTTTTTTTCAGTTTTCTTATTGGTGTTAGATTAAATCTTTAAATGCTGAATAAGCGTTAATTATGATCTAGGCATGTTCTAGCAATCCTGACACAACGGTCATTAAGATAAATAGAAGGGTTATAGATAAACTCTGCAGGAGTTTTTTTTTTTTTATAATGAAATTGGTGGTGGCTGCTTCAATGCCTCCATAGATCAGTGAATACAGAAGTGATAATCAACCTAATAAGGTAGCTGTTTCCAGGTGTAAGAAGAACCATTTGATTAATTGCTTCTAGACTGAGAAAACATGTAACGATTTAAAACTAGAAAACTTATTATGCTTTTTACAAATGATGAATAAGCATGATGAATAAGGTGAAGTGTGAATTATCTACATGACCCAATAATGTGTTTCATAGTAACTCAGCTGAAATTTGCTAATTAGCTTTTTATTTTTCAAAAAAACCATAGCAATTTTTATTTAAGAGTTAAATAGCTAACACTTTTTAAAAGTTATACTTGATTTGTTTACAAATAAGCTGATGTCATCAAATCAATGGTCCACTCTCAAGCTTTATATTACTTGACCTTCATCAGCATTGGTCCACCCCTTTCTTCATGAAATATTTTATTTTCTAGGTGTTCCAAACAAAACAGCCTCCTTACTACTATCCATTGGTCACCCATTCCAAGACTCCATTTCTGGGTTGTCTCTGTCTCCAAGATCTCTCAATATCAAGAACTCCAAACTGTCTGCTGGGTCATTGTCCTTTCCCATCTATGCTCTATTTAAGCAGCCTCAACGGGTTCCATGGTTCTTAATGCCCTCAGTATGCTGAAGATTCCCAAATCCTTTTCTTCAGTGCCAATCTATCTCCTAACCCAGGTTCACTGTACAACTGCCTTTTAGATATTTTCATTTAGATAACCATGAGGCATCCAAAATTTAACATGGCCAAATAGAATTCTTGCTTTCTTCCCCAACACCCACACACATCTCACAAAAAATATACTTCTTCCAAAGTTTTATTTATCACAGAAACTTGTCCTAACACCCTCCAAGTTGCTTGGACCAAAAAATGTACATGGCAAAATTTGATTCCTCTCTTTGTTTATGGTAGAATTTCACAGAAAGGCCCATACCTCTGTGTTCAAAATATATATATAGTGCATCTCCCATGGAAGCCCAAGCCATTATATTCTCTTTTCTGAACTACTGAAACAGTCCCTGTCTCCCTGGCTTCCTCTGCCCACCTGCAGGCTCATTCCATCTACCACTTCACCCTGCATGATTTTCTACTAAAAGTAGAACTAGGCTGGGTGTGGTGGCTCACGCCTGTAATCCCAGCACTTTGAGAGGCTGAGGCGGACAGATTGCTTGAGGTCAGGAGTTCGAGATCAGCCTGGCCAACATGGTGAAACCCCATCTGTACTAAAAATACCAAAATTAGCCAGGCATGGTGATGTCCACCTGTAATCTCAGATACTTGGGAGGCTGAGGCATGAGAATCGCTTAAACCCAGGAGGCGGAGGCTGCAGTGAGCTGAGGTCGCGCCACTGCACTCCAGCCTGGGTGACAGAGCGAGACTCCATCCCAAAAAAAAAAAAAAAAAAAAAAAACAAGCAAGAGTAGAATTTAATTCAACTCTTCACCGTTATTCAAAGCTTTGTTATTGGAAGTGTGGTAGGAGGACCAGCAACGTGGATTTCATCTGGAAGCTTGTTAGTGATATACAATCTCAGGCATAATGAACCAAAAATGGTGTTTTAAGAAGGTCCCCCAAGTGACTCATATGTGCATTATAGTCTAAAAAACGCTGGTTTAAAACGCCCTACAAGATCTGGGTCCTGACTTCCTCTTCAGACTTGTTCTCTGCTCTTTTCTCTTCTCTCACCAAAATCAGCCACAATGACCTCCTATCTTTTTGTCCCACACAGTAGGTGCATTCTATCTTAGAGGATTTTTCCTTGCTCATCCTTCTACTTGGAACTCCATTCTCTCAAATCTTAGCATGACTGAATCCACGTGTCATTCAGGTCTCGGTTCAGATAACACTTCACAGAGAGCTATTCCAGGCCACTCATGCGAGAGTGCTCCCACCCAAGTCACTGGATCACATTACTTCTCTTTTCCTTGCTCTTAAAAAGTATTTGGGCATTTCTCATTTGTTTGTCTTTACGACTTTTATTATCACTCCTCACAAGGTCATAAGCACCTTGAAGATAGGGGCTTTGTTTATCTCAATCATTCATAGATCCACAACACGCAGAACAGTTCCTGACACAAAGCAGATGCTTAATAAAACCAAATTATAAGTAACTGAAGTCTTGTTTTTGTAGACTATGAAAAATGCATACATGTATTGCTCTAGTTAAAGGAAACAATGTGAATAATATCTATTTATTCCTAAACTCCTAACATGGCAAAATTATTCTCCAAATCTGATCTAGAAGTAGCTGATATTTTGTCTCTAGATGTGTTTTCACAAGCTTGCACGGTTTGTTTGTAAACTGATTCCAAATACAGGAAGATTTTACTTACAGATCCCAGTTTTGGGTGTCTTTAAAAATCCTGAACATCTGGCAACACTAGGTCTGCCTTTCCTCAGAGCCACAACAAGGAGAAGTTGAGTAGCCGCCTCCAGGTCTCTACCATTCACACCATGTATTCAGCCAACATGTAAGCTAACTTTTGCTCACTAATGAAACCCAACTATTAAGTTTTTGACCCTGATCCCAATTAAAGTAACCTCTTTATTTGTAGCTAAAAAAAAGAACTATTTAAAAAAAATAAGATCCTCATATATAAAACTTGTGTACACAATAGCAAAGACATAGAGTCAACCTAAATGCCCATCAATGATAGACTGGATAAAGAAAATGTGGTACATAAACACCATGGAATACTATGCAGCCATAAAAAAGAATGAGATCATGTCCTTTGCAGGAACATGGATGGAGCTGGAAGCCATTATCCTTAGCAAACTCACCCAGGAACAGAAAACCAAATACCACATGTTGTCACTTATAAGCGGGAGGTAAATTATGAGAACACACAGACACTTAGAGGGGAGCAACATACACTGGGGCCTTTTGGGAGGGTGGAGGGTGGGAGGAGGGAGAGGATCAGGAAAAATAACTATTTGGTAGTACTTAATATTAATCTGTACAGCAAACCCCATGATACAAGTTAATCTATGTAACAAACCTACACATATATCCCTGAACTTAAAATGAAAGTTAAAAAAAAACCTTTTGTACAGTTGTATTCAACCATTGTTTCATGAAACTTTTGTTTAAATGTTATTACATGGCTACCATGCCTAACATTAAATCCTCCTTGATCTTTCTGCTAAAGAATAGTGTGTTCTTAAACAATGAGTATTTATTTCTTTAGGAAAAAATTAGATTCAGTCTTACTATTTAGTGATTGAAGTAAGTCACTTAACTCTAAATCAAATTTACTCTATTTAAGCCTTCCCTAAACTGTGTTTGCAACAGGGCATAAACGTGGTGCTAGATTTAATCTCAAAAACACCTGACAACTCAGCACGTCTACTTTTAGGAAAACACCAGCGCTTCTTTCTACGTTATGTTCCTCTTTATCTTTTATCTGCCAACATCTGTATATTATCTTTTATTAAATTTCTGCCTGTTGAGGAAACATTTCTTTTCCTTTTTTTCAAGCATTAACATATCTAAGGCTATATTTTAATCCCATTTAAATATTCCTTAACAGTTGTCTATGAAATATTTCAGAATGTCACGTATTGCCTAATTGATATACCACTGAGTCTCCCTGGAGAAGGAGTGTTGTAAAATAGCTTACCAAAGGTTCCCTCAATAAATCAGAGTTCCCGTTGTTTTGAAACACACTGGGAAGAGCTAAAGCTGTAGTTTTGATTAACATAGACAAGTCCAAAATGTTTCTCAGTTTTAAATGTTTCCATCAATCAGTAATTCAGCTCCAGAGTTGCCATAGAAGGTTATGGGAAAAAAATCCTTCTGCTTTTCCAATATCAAAGAGAGAGATGTTCTGGAAGGTTTTATTTTTGCCACCCTGTTTCTAATGCATTTCGCCTTAAGAATAATATTACTCATCTCCAGCAATCAGGCTCAAGGAGGAAATTTGATACCATTCTGTGGGTCATCCCCAGATCTCTGCAGGCTTCTGGCAGATGTATGATGTAGTGGGCACCACTAACTTTGTCTGCTAGGGTATTAGTAGGACGTGGTCTACTGAATACCGGACAGACATTTGGAAATTAAACTAATCAAAATAGGCTAATTTCACGTGCTAAGCAATGCAATTTCCCTGAATTTGTAGTTCCATGATCTACTTTTTCTTCTACATTTCTCTTACTCCCTCTCTTCTCCGTTTACAACACAAAATTCAACAAACTGCTAACTCTAGCTATTAATATCCCATAGTATTTCTCTAAGCAGCTTCATAGTCACAGTTTCAGTTAAGGCTCTAGGGCTTTCATTCCTGAACTACGTGTACTACAGATCCCAGTTAAAATCTCTATCCTTCCCACAACAGTGGTTGACCACCTTCCTCAACATTGGATTTGGGGTGATAATGACAACATTCTGAACAAAGCTCATTTTTTCCCCTAACCCCCAGCTAAATAGAAGAAATGTTAATGTTACTCCTCTTTAGATTTTTTTAATTAAGAATATTTTTAAAGGATTTTTTTATGATTTAATGGGACACAATGAAAAGATATTTTGACAAAGGTAAACATCTGAAACTGAGGCAAAGAATTTTAGATGTTGCCTGTGTAACCATTATTCCATGATCAAAAGCCCAATGTTTAACATATCCTGATTTCATCATTAAACAAGCATAAGAAAAAAAAAAAAGAAAACCATAAAAGTGAAATAGATTACATCTTGTAATAATACAGCTATGAAATTCTGACCAGAATGAAAATATGAGTATGAAGAGAGTAATCATTTGCTTATTAATTCAAGGAACAATTTGCCATTTTTCAAGTATTATGAAAATAAGAGACTGTTGGACTCTTTTTAAACACGCAGGTTTTTCAAATGTATGTACAGTAATATTATAGCTCTGGTGAAAATTTTGATGAAAACAAAATTTTCTGTCTTCTTTTACTTACCTTGCCCTTTTCAAAAAATAGTGCTTAATGTTAACCAATGGACAGTCTAACTACCTGAAGCTTTTCATTCAGCTTTATTTTCTCAGCAACTATGGTTGAAACTGACAAGTTAGGTGAAAGGTTGTGTAAGTATCCAGGCAGGGGCAAAAATATCGAGTTATCCCCAAATACTAACAAGCACATAGGTAGAATATTTCTACCAAGTTAAAGAGAATAAAGGAACCACATTGAGCAGAGCTACCTTATTCAAGGACCTCATTATCTCAAGGCACCCCAATTGAATAAGTGTACCATTATTCCCTTCGTTCTGTGCAAACAGCAGACGTAGAGCACAAAGAGAGACGATTTCAGTGAATCACACTGTAATTATAAATGCCACATTAAAAAACGGAACAAAAGCAACAGCAGGACACTGTAACGTCGATGGTTAAGGAGGGCAAACAGAGAAACATTCTCAAAGGCCACAATAAATTACATGATCCAGTTCTTTGTTACAGGCAAATTATTGGACAATAAGAGAGACACTGAACACAACTTATCAGTGGTAAAGTAACTTGCACACATTCTCCTACCACTGAAATATTCCTGTTACCTACACAACTGCATTTGTATATACAAGCAAGAATTTTGATGCACTAAGTAATTAATATAGCTCTCTAGTATTTTTTTTACCTCTGTGCTTATTCTATCTGGGCAAGGTGTGGTAATAGCACCTTAAAAAATAAGATCAGATTTAGGAGTGAAGAACACTGCATTGGAAAAGGTAATTGCTAATTTTATTGTATTTTAATTATTTGACCATTTGTGCACAAAATTAAATAATACTTGCTTCATCTCTATATTTTACTCATCTATGACCTTCTTTTATTATTTATTCCTTTTTTACTTATTTATTACACAAATTTATTAACACTTGTGAATATATCTTACAAGCCCCAGACCTAGACAATTCGCAATAACTTACATTTACCGGTGAGTTCCTTCCCTGTATCCCAGACCAGAGAAACCCCTCCTCTGAATCGTGACTGTATCGCCCTCTTTCTTCTAACCCACATCCGTGTGTATGATTAACAATCAGATATTTTTAGTTTTGGTTATTTTCAGACTTATACAGCTAATGCTGCATGTAATCTCCTGTGATTTTCTTTTGTCACCAAATACTATATTGCTAAGATTAAGCTACATTGTTCCTTATTGTTGTGATTCAATCATTTTCACTGCTGTGTAATATACCATTGTGTGAATTCATCCATTCTTCTGGGGACACTTGGGTTGTTTCCAGGTTTTTGCTATTGCACAGAATGCTGTTTTGAACATTCTGATTGACACAGACCTACCTCTAAAATCTGAGGGCTCCAGAGCAAGAGGATAAATGGAGGCTCGCACATGGTTATCTCATACTAAGTGTTGTAAATCCTGCTGCAACCACTGCCCCAGTCCTCCTTATACCCAGAGACCCACAGCCTGTTCCTGGCCCTGGCACTTTTGAGAGAAGACTGGACCCTCCTGAACCCAAGTTCAGACTAAGTCAAGTTTTCCCGGAAGCCAAGGCAGGCAAACACTTTCCCTAGCTCCTTGCATTTCTGACTTGAAATTTTCACATAGTCCTAAGTACCTCTCAAAACTGCCTAAGGGAGGCAGTATGCATTTCCTGGGGACTCTGATTGCCTGGCCCTTGATGCTGGGGCTTCTGGGTGGGAGCCATTCTTTCTTTGATATCCCAGGGCCGTGGCTGCTCCCTGCTGCCGTAGACACACACCCACTCTCTCACATTCAGACAGGCATCCTTCGACTTGTGATGGTACCTGGTGAGTTCCTTGCCTGTCATTCTCATTAGCACCATTTTCCAATTTTCAAGAAAATGTCTTATAGTACCAAAAAGAAAAAAAAAAAACAAAGCTTGACTTAGTCTCAATTTGGGTTCAGGTGGGTCTGCTCTCCTCCCAGAAGTGCTAGAGTCTGGTCTAGCTTCTGCTTATTCTGCCCACTCAGGTCACAGAAGCGTGGTGGTCTAGGGGATAGGATGGCCCTTTGCATTTCCATGTTTGAGATTTGCAGCTTCCTCCAGTGGGCAGAGCCCAGAGTGGGGTCCCATCTGCCTTGATCTAAGAGCAATACTACCGGTGCACATCGGCAAGAATTTCTCCCAGGTGGGATACCTGCATTAGTTTTCTATGGCTGCTGTAACCAATGACCACAAACTGGGTGATTAAAAACAAAACAGGAATTTATCTTCTCCCAGTTCTGAAGGCCAGCTGTCTGAAATCCAGGTATTGGCAGGGCTGTACTCTACTCCATACCTCTCTTCTAGCTTCTGGTAGTTACCAGCAACCTCTGGTATGTTCGTTTGCTATGGTTGCCATAACAAAATACCACTGTCTGGGTGACTTAAACAAATTGAAATTTATTTTTTTCACAATTCTGAAGGCCAGAAGTCCAAGGTCAAGAAGCTGACTGGATTGCTTCCTTCTGAGGCCTCTCTCCTTGGCTGGCAGACGGTTGTCATCTTGCTATGTCCTCATATCATCAGCCCCCTGCATGCACACATCCCTGGTATCTCTATGTCCTAATGTCCTCTTCTTATAAGGACATTGCAGTGGGAGTCTAAATTGTTACATGTACTTTGGAAAACACTTTACTCATAAAGTTGAGTATTTATATATATTTCTGCTCAGCAATTCAATTTTAAATATATTGTTTAGTTTTAGTTGCCTTTCACTTTATAAAAATGTTATTATAGGGGTTACATTTTGGCCCCGTCACGTTAGACTGGAGCTCACCTTCCTGGGCTCATATGAACTTAATGAACTCTTTAAAGACCTTATCTGCAAAGACAATCACATTCAGAGGTACTGGGGGTTGGGCTTCAACCTATGAATTTCAGGGGTAGGGGGACATGAATCAGTCCATAACACACAGCATGCCTTATCTTGTAGAAACATCCTTCCAATTTCTGCCTCCAGCTGCATATCACCTCTTCTAGGTATCCTCTTCTCTTCTAAGATGCTTGTCTTTGGATGTAGGGTCCACCCTAAATCTCATCTTGTGATCTTTAATTTATATCTGCAAAGGCCCTTTTTCCAAATTAGGTTATATTTTTAGGTCTCCAGTGGACAAATCTTTTGGATGCCAAAATTTAACCCCTATAATAACCTTTTTATAAAGTGAAAAGCAACTAAAACTAAACAATATCTTTAAAATTGAATTGCTGAGCAGGAAAATATATAAATACTCAACTTTATGAGATAAAGTGTTTTCCAAAGTGCATGTAACAATTTAGACTCCCACAGCAACATTTAAAAGAAATTCCATTGATTTACATCCATTACCCAGCAAGCTTTGTCCTCACTATTTTTGCCAATCAGATGAAGGTTAATGGCATTTTATTGTTGCCTTCATTTGCATTTCTCTGGTTCCTTCTGAGGTGATTGCTTTTGAAGAGTTTTTCTTGCATCGTAGTTAGTATTCGGTATTGCAAACCATCATTTGTGATGAGATTTTGCCAAGATTTTTTTTGAGTCATTAGTGACAAGTTTTATATTAAGTCTAAACTTGAAATGGAAATTCTACATCATCAGAAATTGAAATATTCTTAATATCTGTCAAAAGCCATCTTGTGTGATGCTAGACAAGTCATCCACTCTTGAGAACTATTTCACTCAAAGTTAAGAAGAAATAGGCAGGGAAAAAGAGGTGGCAGAATTGTACTAGTTATTCTTTGTATGGTACATCTAAAACTCAGGGTGTTAGTATTAAGGAGTAAATGTCAACATCTCTAGCCAATTTGGACATATGGATCACTATAAGAGCTTTCTCTCAGCCCAATAAGTCCTGAAGACAAGAATCATCTGACCACATGCCATTGTTATAGTCTAGCTTAGTGCATATGCCACATATCTGCTTTTGATCACTAACAGCATCTTCTGCATACTAAAGTTAGAAATTTTTTTAAAAAAAGAAGAAGAATCAGAAATGCACAATAGGACCAATCAGTGGTTGCTCATTCATCATGCTGCCTTCAACTGTGTTGCCTAAAGGAGGTTCAGACACTGCAAATATGTGCGGTGCCACCTGCTGAAATGGCTATTTCCTGCCACTCTCCAAACGTTTATTAGGGATGTAACCAGGCTATCTGGATGACTCAACATGCAACTCCTAGGAAATGAAGAGGCTCTTAATGACAAAATGCCATACTTGTTGAAATTATAGCAATATTCATTTACTGACTCTATATGAAGCAGTAGAACTTTTTGATTTCCAGTTGAGACAATCAGCTGATCTTGCACATATCATGGCGTGAATCTTGAGAGCAGAAAACTTCAGTTGGAGATCCTAATAGGGCAATAATTTTATTGTTGGGGGCGTCTATGGAAGTGCGGTGATGGGTATAAAGGAGAACTATCAACCCGAAAGCATGATTTATATATTTGATATTGTCATTATTAGCACTTCAGTTAGGACTGGTTTGCTTGCCCCAAAGAAATCAACAGTCACATAAAAGAAAGAAAGACAACAATACCATCGGCACTTTCCAGGGCTTTCTAATCCTGGACAAAAGTTAAGTCCAAGGAGAAAAGCAAATACAGCAGCAGTGAGCATAGAAAATTAGTCCCTCAATGTTTCCTCTAAAGTCTCAGTAAAAAATGATATGAAATATAGAAATAATGAAATATTAAAGTGCTTCTTCACATCCAACAAGCACCTACTGCCAGCAAGGAACTATAGAAGCTGCTTTGATAAGTATAAAAAAGCATAAAGACATAATCCCTGCCTTCAAAAATCTTAAAACCCGTTGGAAATAAAATCATAGAGAAAATAGAACTTTCAGTACTAGCTTCAGAAGAGAATCTGCCATCACTAATAAACTGCATGAAAGAGGCTAGAAATAAAGATGACTTCGACTTGCCTAAAGAAATTCCTATTGTGGATAGAGCTTTGAGTTGCCTGGACCTATCATAGCTATGTAATAAAATAGAAGTCTTCGTTAACAGATAGGAAGGCCTGATTAGATATCTGAATGATTGCCGGGCGCGGTGGCTCACGCCTGTAATCCCAGCACTTTGGGAGGCCGAGGAGGGTGGATCACGACGTCAAGACATCGAGACCATCCTGGTTAACACGGTGAAACCCCGTCTCTACTAAAAATACAAAAAAATTAGCCGGGCGTGGTGGCGGGTGCCTGTAGTCCCAGCTACTCGGGAGGCTGAGGCAGGAGAATGGCGTGAACCCGGGAGGCGGAGCTTGCAGTGAGCCGAGATCGCGCCACAGCACTCCAGCCTGGGCGACAGAGCGAGACTCCGTCTAAAAAAAAGAAAAGAAAAGAAAGAAAAAGATATCTGAATGATCTTTCATTGAATAAAGTAATCTCTCTGCTAACCAATAGGCACTCAAAAGCAAAACAAAACAAAAATCAGAAATTTCGCTTGCATTTGGAGAACAAAACAGAAAGCCCTGTGATACCCTTCAAAATACAAATGATCTCCTTACTGTTTCCCAGGGGGGACATCTCAGTCTTCCCCCACCCTCTTACTTAAGACACATTTTCCTGCTTCAAGCCTCAAATGGGATGGCTGTGCGTTCCTCGGGGCCACTGGAGCCCACCTCCAGCAGCAAGTCCAAAAAGTGTACCCGTTCTGGAGTGCCCACGCCAGAGTGTGGCCATCCTACCTACTCAGTGCCCCTGCCTCCTCAGCTGACATTCTGCTGTAAGAGTACTTGTTTTCTAAACAGAAAGGTAAGAATGCTTTATGTGTGGCATTTCATCACCACGACTGTTTACCAAGATCTGACTGAGATCTGGTGTGGAATGCATCCTAGTCATATAGCCTAAGAGGTAGCACAGAATCAGGCTGTAGCTTCTGGGTGAAAATGTCCTAGCTGGCATCTCAGCTGTCTGAGACGTTGGGGAATCATTTAACCTTGCTGCACCTCACTCTCCTCATCTGGAGAATAGGGTGATAAGACTACCCCATATTATTGTTGTGGAGGTTGATTTAATGTGTGTTATTGCGCAAAGTGTTTATTAAATGATGGCCATTATTATTACTGTGGTGTAATATAGTCATGTAATCTTACATCCACCATGTGATTTAGAGTCACTTGAAATTATAAATGCAGCATTAGTGTACAATGTTATGTAACCCTATTAGCTCATGGGGTAAAGAAAGAAATACGTAAGGGACCAGGTAAGAAAACAAGCAAACCAGCCGGCGTGGTGGCTCACGCCTCTAACTCCACCACTTCGCGAGGCCGAAGTGGGTGGATCACGAGGTTAGGAGATAGTGACCATCCTGGCTAACATGGTGAAACCCCATCTCTACTAAAAAGAAAAAAGAAAAAAAAGAATTAGCCGGGTGTGCCTGTAGTCCCAGCTACTCCAGAGGCTGAGGCAGGAGAATCTCTTAACCTGGAAGGCGGAGGTTGCAGTGAGCTGAGATCGCCCCACGACGCTCCAGCCTGGGCAACAAAGCGAGACACCATCAAAAGAAAGAAAGAGAGAGAGAGAGAGAGAGAGAAACAGAGAAAGAAAGAAAGAAAGAAAGAAAGAAAGAAAGAAAGAAAGAAAGAAAGAAAGAAAGAAAGAAAGAAAGAAAGAAAGAAAGAAAGAAAGAGAGAGAAAGAAAGGAAAGAAAGAAAGAAAGAAAGAAAGAAAGAAAAGAAAGAACAAGCAAACCAGCACCACATATGACATTTATAATAAAATCAACTCATATTCTTAAGCATAAGAGAAAGCATATAATGCAAGAGTACTAGAAAAGTACTAGAATAGAATCAAACTCTCATCTTAGAAATGGTATTTTTGGAACATTATTATAATCTAATAAGTGGTACCCTAATTGTCCAAAAACAAGTTAGCAGTTAAAATCTTTTGATAGTATTGGGCCTATGGGATTCAAGCATGAGTTAAATTTTGACTTGATTTTTCCTCGGGGCAATTTCCAACTCTGAGAGCATGGGATTCATTTATAGGTTTGGATTTAATTTGGACCGTCCACATCATCCTTTTCTTCAAATGACCTGAGGGTGCTGAAGTGAGTTCCACTTTCTTTTCCTTCCTCAGTTCCTCATGGTGGTAAATGAGTACCCATCCAGATGCTCCAGCCAAAACTCTTGATTCTAAGACCTTTCAATTCTACCCTCAGATTACATCCTATATACACCTGCTTTGCTCCACCCTGCTGCCATTTTCCTGGTCCAATCCACCAAAATCTGCCACCAGAGTCCCCTAAGCAGACATCGTGTTTCCGGTCTTGTCTCTCTCCAATCTACTGGAGCAGCCAAAGGGACAGTCAATGTCCATGTTGTCCCACTGTTTGAATAACTCCACAGCATGCCCCTGTCTCTCTCTGTGCCATGCCAACCAACCCAGCTTGCAACTCTTCAGCCACACTGACCTCCTCTTGTTCCTTCCGTTTTTCAGCTGCTTTCCAGCCCCAGGACCTCTGCAGGTGTTCTTCTCTTTGCTGAGAATGCCCTTTAATCTACTCTAGACAATGCTTGGTTCTCAGTTACATACTGTGTGCATGTCTGTGTGTGTATGTGCATATTCATTCATGAGAGAGAAGACTGTGGTCTGTAAGAAATGGAGAGAACTGCATTACTCAGGGAAAATCTGGCTTTGCTCATGAATGGATCCATGGCCTCACATGCAGGTACTAGAGCCTGATTCTCATTTCCTCTGCTCTTGTTGTTCTTTCTGTAGCCACCAGTGCCAGGCAGTCTTTTTTGTATGGTAAGATGGTTGCTAGTCTTATGTGGTCTCCTCTTAGCAACTCTAGCAAAAGAAGGAGGAGCTTTTCATACTTAGCCACTCAAGCAGAAGGCCAGAATGACTTCTAATGAGGCCTCATAGCCAGGGCTCCAAGGGCAGAATGTCTTAATCTCTTACTGTGGCTAGGGAGTTGCAAGACTCGGTTCACCAGCCCAGGGCCATTTGCGGGAGCCATGGGTAGAATCAGCTCCACTTACACCGCTTGGCTGAGAATAGTGGAGAGATGATCGTTACCAGCAGAGACAAGAGTGGATAGCAGCCAGCCAAACACAATGAATAAAATAACACAAGCTTGTTCACTTATACAAAACCAAGTGAACCAGAATGTTCTCACAACTTCCAGTTATGCTTCGTACTAATGGAAAGGGCCTGCTCTCAGCCAAAAGTAGACAGAGTTGGAATTTGGTCTTTGGCCCTTATCCTGCCTGCTTTGGGGGCCATTTGCCATCTTTAAGATCAAGAATATTCCTGCACATATACTATCAGCCACTCTTCCCTTGGAGCAGCCTATGTTTTTGTTCACCAGACTGTCCAGTAGAGCTTTCATGGTGATAGTCTATGTCAGTGCTGACTAATACAGTAGGCACTAGCCATAAGCAGCTATGGAGCACTTGAGATGCAGCTAATGACGGAGGAACTCAATTTCTTGAATTTTATTTAGTTTTAATTAATTGGCATTTAATTTTTTTTTTTTTTCTTTTTGAGACGGAGTCTCACTCTCTTGCCAGGCTGGAGTGCAGTGGCACGATCTCGGCTCACTGCAACCTCCACCTCCTGGCTTCAAACGGTTCTCCTGCCTCAGCCTCCCGAGTAGCTGAGATTACCATGCCCAGCTAATATTTTTTTGTGTTTTAGTAGAGACGGGGTTTCACCATGTTGGCCAGGATGGTCTCGATCTCCTGACCTCGTGATCTGCCTGCCTCAGCCTCCCAAAGTCCTGGGATTACAGGAGTGAGTCACCGTGCCTGGCCATCATTTAAATTTAAATAGCCGCCTGTGGTCAGTGGCTACCACACTGGCCAGCGCCGCTCTAGATCTTTCTTGCAGTTTATTCTCACATCAAAACTTTTCAAGCCAAATTGCTCTGCCAAATCAATTTATTATAATGAGTGAAAAATGACTTCATTTATTAATACTTTCAAATTAATTGCTTATATTCTATCAGGAATTTTCAAAGCCTTAAAGGAAAAGAGTGGCAAATGGTGACAATTGGGACATTTTTCCTTGATGCAAAAGTCTACTTGGTACCTCTCAAATCATATCAAATATTTTGCTGCATAAAAATTATGTTCCCAAAGTAATCACTGAGCAATTGGCATGTAGGTTTGTAAGGTGCAAACACATCTAATAATTTGTTGTCACCTTTGGATAGTAAGCTATTTAGATTTTACAAACTCTTGTTTCTTTAGAGGTAAGTTTTAGCCTCTGTAACCCCAATTTCTACTTGCCTAAGAGGGAGAGAGCAAGAGAGAGCATGCAGGCTAGAGAAACAATTTAGAGAAATTTGCAAAGTACCTTTTAAGAGATGAATGAGTACAACATTAAAGCAAACATGCATAATTTGAAAATAATTTGAGGAATTTGCATTGTTTTGACAAATTGAAATCTGCCCCTCTCCAAGAGGTTCCAGGAGACCAGATGGTCGTGCAGTGTATTGGAGGGGGTCCAAAGTTGCTTTTGTGTTCATTGATGTAGTGTGCTAAGAAAGGTCTCTGGGGAAAAGTATCCCCAGGTAGTTGATTGCTTTGGAGTTCCAGCAGAGAGTAACTGTGTCATATGAGAAAGGAAACAGAAGTTATTGAGAACTAATGCCTTGGATTGGACCGGCTAATTTTATCACTGGAAATTCAGGAAAATATTTCAAAAAATATCAGAAAGGTATTTCTGAGACAGGGAGAGGAATTGGTAAAGAACTGAAGTAAATTAGCAGCATACAGACCCAGTCTGACTTCCCTTTGGTGTGTAGAAGATCCTTGAATGTTATCAAGTGCGTATGAAGCTGTGTCAAGGGGTTCAAGGGCTTTGCTTTTTAATTTTAAAGTGCTGACCCTAATCAGCTGAGCGAGGAAAGGTAGTTGATTGGGATGGAGCCTGACATTGGAAAAGCTTAGCATCTCTTCAAAAAGCATGTGCTATTTAATTGGAACATTCACACCCGCTAATAGTAGCTGTTTAAAATGACACATCAACAAAGAGAGCCACTGTTTTGGGGGTTTCCAAAGACGAAAATCACACAAGCAACTCGGCAATTTTACCTAATGGGAAGTTACGGTTTTGCTTAGTATGAGGGGAAGGAGTACTCACTCTTCATTCCTGCTTTTTGTGCAAACCTTTGCAAAAGGAAGACAGGAAAGGAGAAAGGAAGTAAGGGGAAAAAAAGGAGTAGGGTAGGGAGTAAGGCAGGGGCCAGGAATGTGGGTGTGAAGGAAGTGCTGAAACAGAAAAGGGGGTGAGGAGGCCGTTTTTATGAGCTCCCATTTCTCCTAAATTTACACTGTCAATGGTTTTACTCTTACTAGTTTATTTTTCTTTTGACTTCTTTTTTCCATAAAGTTGGATAGAAATGCTTATTGCTGGAAGGGAAATAAGATGCTTTTTTCATAATAGCCAGTGAAGAGGGTTTTTTTCCACATCACTCTGTAAGCTTTTTAATACAGTTGCTTAATATACTGCCTAGAATATATTGCAGTTTTTTGCATTTCTCTTTTAGACTTTTTCACTTAGTGTTCTTACCATTAGGAGAACAGTTGTCTGACCTTTTTCTAGGAGGTTAATAAAGAATGCACAGCCCCATGAGCCTGATTCAATTTCCTTTATGTGAACACGCTGCATAAGTGACCATTATATTTGTCTGCTTCTCCGTGCTTCGTTCCATAGTTCCCAGCCTTTTATATGAATGACCACATATGTTGTGCATTTGGCCACATCAGGTGAGAAAAAGCAAAATAGATTTTCTTGAGCATTCAATCCAGTTTCCACACAATGGGCTCTCTAATGTGGATTTGAAATGTATCTGGTCATATATTATTTAACTGCATTGTATTTTGTGTTTTAAAAATTTCCACCACATATTCGATTTTAACAAATGTATGAGGCGCTGCAATATTTGAGCTCTATATTTTAGAAATTCCACACTTTCAACAGATTCTTCAGACTTCAAAGAATTTAATATTAGTACCATAAAAGGTCTTTTGAAGAATAATACTGGAACATAAGAAAAACGACTGCCTGAGTGTACCCTATCATTTAGAAAGTGTTTTATTGCTTTAATTTCCTGTCTTCGTAAAGTAACAAGCAGCACAATAGAAGATATATTGTTACAGAGTTTGCAATTTATTAGAAGGCTTGAGCAAGTTGAAGACTTTATGTGAAGTGAAAAAGAAAACCTCTATTTCGCTGAAAAATGGAGACGAACCACATCAATGTTGCAGCAGCTTTAAATGGAGTCCCCTTTTTGACTGATAAGTTGTCTCTACACACCCTGTATGTTTGCATGAAATAAATCTATGGGCACAATCCTCATTTTGGGCTAGCTGTGTGTCATTAGGTTCCTAGAAACCTAATGTTATTTCATTTGTGAGGCGTGTATAAGATGACTGTTGCTATTTGGATTCTATAGCACAAAGGTGCCATTAAAGCAGAAATGACCCATAACATACATTTCCATTCATTTATTACATTTTTTGCATGCGTGACTGAATTTTAATCCCGGGTTTTGTCAACCTAGTGCAGTTACATCGAGCTTTTTAGCATAGTTTCATGTACCTCAGTTCACTGTCTTTTACACAGAGGCGTAAAAGCATTAAAAAGGAAGATATTTATCCCACTGAAGTACAGAGACAATTCATTTCTGCACCAAAAATTGTAGAAATGAGTGATGTGACACAATGACTAACCTGTAAAAATAAAGTTGAAAAATTACCTCATAAATAACTTCAGAGAAGGGGGAAGCAGGATATTTAACAAGTCTGGGGGGTGGTGTGTGTGTGTCTGTGTGTGGCTTTTCTTTAATAACACGGTAGGTACTCAGATGAGCGGACATCAAGCAGCCCTCTGGAATGGAAGCTACCTGTTTATCAGGGCAGAACAAGAAGTATAAGAATCACAGGTGCTCCTTAATCCCACCACTGTTCTCCGACCAAAAGATTGCAAAACATCTGTTCCTAACAGATTGTTTAGTTTTTCTACTAAATAAATCAAAGTGGGAAATATTACCATGTGGAAAGCCACTGGAAAAGACCCAAAGGTCAACTGACCTCAAGTTTGTTAGTTCCAATGATTTTAGCCAAATTAGTAGGTTTCACAAGTCAGAGAGTTATCTTTATCACTCTTGATTATATTTTGGATGCATGCTAAGGAACATGTTGTGCCATGTTAATTACCTAAATTCATTGACTGATGGATTTAAATTAGTACACCTAAGCGTCATAGCTGCAGTACTTGTAGGCGAACGTGGGAGAGCCCAGACGTTTCTGGTTTTCTCCGTTATCTATGTTTATCTTTGGAAGAATAATTATTTCCAAGCTTTATTGCTAACTGAAGCACAAAAGATATCCTCTGGGCGTGCCGCAGACAATCCTCAGGCACATTAGAGGAGTCATCTAGAGTTAGTTCAAAGTGAATTACTTTATTTTAATCATGGTGACTTTACCGACTGTGTCAATACCCTGTCCCGTCATGTTGTCAGACTTTTATTCCTCCTCTTCTGCGTTTTTTCTTTTTTCCTTTCTCCTCTTTACATGATACCCAGGCCACTTTATTTTAAGGCATATTTTTTAGTCTATTCAAGATTTACGGATAGAATGGCACTTCAAAATGACTCGTCTTGTATTACACGATACGGAGTCTGTTTGGTAACTCTTTTTCCTCCAAATCCTTGGCTAAAATCTGTGGACAATGCTTTATTTTTTTAAACAACCACGTGAGTACTTAATGTGAGGCATTTGACAATTATAGAGTTATAATGAGTGCAAACTTTAAAATGCAAATAAAATGCTGCACTCAGGGCTACTAGAGATTAAATATTTACTTCATCCTCACTAATTCACAAACAGGAAGCCAGGGTACAGAAGGCACAGAGACATCTGCATCTAATGGTTATTCAGTTCACCAACTAAAAGACACATTTGATCACTTGGAATTCACTTTAAATTCTGTGTAAAATCACTTTGGAAATCTCTTGGGTAGTGTGGCATTTTGCCATCAGATCCCATACATAATATATCTATTTTTTTCTGACATGATTATTTTCTCATTTACTTAGTTCTTGTTGCAAAAGTTAATGGTAAGTGTGGCCTTTATGCCTCAGGAAAAATATATTTTTTCTGACACTTCTCAGGGATCTCGTGTTCCTTTGCTCCGTTCCTGCTGTACAGAGGAGACGTCCGCCCCCAGAGCCCCAGCCTCTCAGTGCCAGTGGCCTCTGTGTCATAGTTTCATTCATCATTTCAGAGATGAGGGTCCCCTCGCCCAACACACGAAAGCTCTATAATTACTTTCATTTCTTGGTTAGCATAGGTCATGGAACTAGTGTTAATAATCATCTTTCCCTCTGGACTTCTCTGTATTTATATATCTCTGATCCCATCACCGTTGGGACCATAGAGGTGTATTTTATCTTCATTTCAGTCCTCATGGTATTGTTTCAGCCCAGGGGGGAAATCAAATGAGGTACAGAACATGGTAAGTTCACACTACTCTGAGGTCATTAACACCTAATTAGAAACAGCTTAGAGATCCAAATGATTCTTTGGTTAAGATGTGTGTGTGTGTGTGTGTGTGTGTGTGTGTGTCAGAGAGAGAGAGAGCTGACAATATTTAACTTCTTCATTGCCAGTATGGTCTTTATCACCAACGGCTGGGGCAATACCTCATTGTGTTTTATCAAACCTTAAGTAGGAGTATTTGTATGTGTGTGTTTTCCTTTTCTTTTTTTCTTTTTATGTGATAGGATACGCAGTCTGTTAAACCATCGAATAGCAAGAAGAGAAGACTGTCTAAAGGCTTAACATACTAATTGATTTTTCCTTAACAGAAAGCCATAATATTACTTCAGTTGAGGCCTAGACAACCTACAGATAAAGTTTTCTAAATATTATGTGATGAGAAAAACATTACCTATTTAAATAAAAAAGATACAACACTATTTTCATACCAATTTGAGGGACGTTAAATCCTGTGTTGCCAGGATAAGAAAATACTTCCACCTAAAAATATGACAGCCATCTATTTGTAGTACCTTTTTAATAGGTCTTAAGTTTCTCTACATGGCAACTTTTAAAAGCTTCTAACATTTTATTTGTTCTAAATGTATAGTTACTCTAATGCCTATCATGCCGTTTGGTATGTTGAAAAACTCTAAGAGAATTCACGCCTTTGTGAATGCTGTTCTACTGAGGACCTTGTTTCCCTAGGACAGGTCTAAGTTCAAAAGACAGAAGTTAGATGTGGAAAACACTGCTGCCTCTAGTTTAGATGCTACGTACGTGAAGGGGAGACATCTCCTTCTCCTTGTTCCTAGATTTGCAACTCAGTGTTTTAAATATTTGAGACATGTTTTCTGCCAAAGGATTCCTTCCCCTCGGGAACTAAACCCACACTAGCAAAGCCCAGCTGGTGGGAGCAGAGCCCAGGAGCCACCAGCTGCGGGAATGTAGGGGATGCTGAGGGAAACTTGGCTGTCAGTTCCAGGCCCATCAGTCTCCCCAGACCTTGCTGATTGCCTAAATTCTTCTTTCAGATGTCCTGGGAGTATGCCTGCCCTCAGCTCTCCTAACGCAGAGGCAGTATATCAGCAGAGTTAAGGTCTACTGTGCTGGGAACAGACTATTGGGTGTAAGCCCAGCTATGCCGCTGACTTTGTATTATGTCTCTCTGCCTCAGTTTCCTCAAATGCAAAACAGGGAAAATGATAAAAAATAACACGTCCTTCCCCAGGTTGTTATGAGGGTGAAATAACGTAAAAAGCTTAGAATCATGTTGATTTATTCAGATAAACCACTGGTTCCCAAATTGTGATTGGGGGGCCCCTTTCAGGAGGTCCATAAGACCAAACCTATTTTCACTTTAACATTAAGATGTGATTTAACTTTTTTACTCTTACTTTCTCATTAGTGGGCTAAGAGTGTGCAAAAGCCACACACGTGACCTGTGATTTCATAACAAATTGAGTGCAGAAGTAGGTGAGAAAATCCAGCTGTATTCTATTAGGCCAGAAAGGAAGGTCTTTGCAAAAATGTCAAACAAAGCCACTTTTCTCATTATGATTTTGTTTTGGAAAGCATAGTTATTTTTTTACCAAAATATGTTATTTCTGTTAACATACAATGGAGCTATTATTGTTATTTTAAATATAAATTCATACATAAATTTTTTCATTTCTCAATTTAAATTTCTAATATTATAAATATTGATAAATATAACCCACATAGACAAAAGCTCTTTGGTGTCCTCAAAGATTTTTTTCATGTAAAGAAGTCCAAATATTTCAGAATTACTAATATAAGCTATTATGACTATCAGTTTCTCCCACCTGTAAGTTTTGCGTTTTTCTCCTGCAAACTGCCTGCCTAGTGAAATGTTGTCTTCACATCTCTCCCTTAAAAAAAGATCTGATTTTTTTGTCTGTTTGTTTTTACAGGATTTTGGGGGACAGTAATTTTTAAATCACCAGACACAACCAACCAAATGTATTTACAATTCTGATTCCTGGGCTCTACCTCCAGAAATCCTGATTCCAAAAGTTTAGATGAGACCCAAGAACCTGGATGTTTAAACTCTAAGTGATGCTGAGATATTACCATGTATTTTAAAGGCAATCTTGCCCAAGGATCTCCATATTCATCTCCGCAGATTTAACACAGTCTCTGCATTCAACTGTTCTTCCTGCTCAATGTGAGCTTACCACATTTCCTCACTGAAGGGTGAGCAGTCTTTGTAGCTGAGAGATGTCATCAAAATGCACAGTAGATACCTCCCAGACTTCTATGGGCGATTTGCAACTTTGAGGATTGCGAAAACTATCTACCAGCTTTCTAGATGTCTGCATAGCCCAGTAGGAATTAACTTTGCAGCCATAAGTAGCTCCTTCAACTGCAAATTTCCTCCAGGCTCATTTAAGCTCTGAGGATGATGGAGGTAAAAGAGAAAGTATAGGGAGAAGACTGGTTGTGGGGAAGATCCGAGAAAGGCTGAGGATGGACCCAGCTAGCTTGTAGAGTGAATCAGACTCCTGGCCTGAGTTCTCACGGCATGATTTTTATTTCTCTTTTGGAAATGGAAGGCAGGGGAGAGAGACAGGATGTAGAATCCACAGCTTGCTGCTGAATGTCTAGGTTCCCAGGCTGATCACTGTTCATCATTTGTGAACATTTGTATTTACCTTCCTTGAATCACTCCTCTGGGATCAGAGAGGTTCATCTGTAAGCTTTTATTTTCAAGACTTACTAGGACTGGGTGGGAGAGTCCAAGCCTTCAAAACCATCCTCCAGCTTAATTTTCTAAATAGCAGCTCTCTACTGTATTCTGATTGATTTGTGACTGGTTATGAAAGATCTACCAGAGAAAGACGCATTAACCCCAGATAAAATTTACAAAAAGAATCCTGACCGCAGCTCAGGATCTTTCAAAAGAAAAATGTCATGAAGTCTACTATCACTTAATGAATATCCCACGCCCGTTCAACTACCACCTACCACCCCCTACCTTCACTCACTAAAGTTTTCTCTACATCAATCCTTCAGTTATAACCATGTGCCCTTGAATGTATTACCATTTTTATTAAGTATTTTCATAATTCCATTTAGAAGGCAAATGAATTATTTCAGAGGAAAGCAAAAACCAAAATTGAATGGGTACATCAAACATCCAATATAGTAACTCCCAGCAGCTCAAAATGCATTATGAGGGCTTTCTACACCAGCCGTGCTCCTACTAATGCTTAGAGAGAATTTTTCCATGAGTTTAAAATACAGTATTAATTCTGCAAGGTCAGAGGGTACCTCGTGAACAAAATATGTTAGTTGATTGTGTTCGTCGTGATTGTGCCAATAAGAAAGACCTCAGAATGTGAAACCTTTGAAAAATTTCCTGTAGGGAAGATATTTTACCATCTATTAGGAGCTAATACTTCTTACTTTGAGAAAGTCATTTTATTATCCACATAAAGAAAGAAGTTTACTGTGAGAAAACTGAGACAGAAAAATTTTAAGTACTTTTTAATAACCAGTGGTAACTAATAGTCTCATTTCCTACATTTGTTTTGTGGTTATTAGAGCAGATCTTCTTGATTTTGGTTGAGAGAGAAAGAGAACATGTTTCCCCCCCACACTTTGGCAATTAAATGTAAATAACAACACAAATGCAAAATGTCAACAGAGACAATTTGTTTCCAACTTGGTTTAATCCTTTAGGTAATTTTTAGTATGTGATGTTAATTTGTATTAAAATGAATACATACACAGGCTGAAAAGGGAATCAGTGTATTCCATATGCTAATATTTCTCAAATCTGAGAAGGTGATGGGACCTTCCCTGTATTAGTAAAGGTTTCCAAAAAAAAAAAAAAAAAAAAGAACCCATAGAATACACACACACACACACACACACACACACACACACGTATGCATATATATCAATAGGATATATATATATATCAATAGGATATATATATACCCCTATATATATAAGTAGGGTATACTCATATATATATCCTATCCATATAATGTAATATTATCCATATAATTAATATACTATAATATCCATTATCCATATAATATTATAATAATATAATATCCATTATCCATATAATACATGTATATTATATGAGAGGATTTAGTGGGGGAATTGGGTCATACAGTTTTTGAGGCTGAGAAGTTTTACAATAGGCCGTCTGCAAGCTGGAGAACCAGGGCATCCAGTGATGTAACTCAGTCAAAGGCCAAAGGCCTGAGAACCTGGGGGCTGCTGGTTCCAGTCCTGAAGTCCAGAGGCTGGAGAATCTAGAGTTCTAATGTCCGTGGGCAGGAGAGGATGGGTGTCTCAGCTCCAGAAATGAGAGAGTAAATTCACTCTGCCTTTTTGTTCTACGTGTGTGCTCAGCTGTTTGCATGGTGCCCACCCACAGAGTTGAAGGCAGATCTTTTACTCAGTCCACTGATTCAAATACCAATGTCTTTCGGAAACTCCCTCATGGACATACTCGTAAATAATGCTTTCTTTACCGTTTTCTGGGTAGCCCTTATTCCAGTCAGGTAGACACCTTAAAATTAATGATCACACCCCCTTATGCAAACTTGGCATGTCTTCAGTGTCTTCTATATTCCCATCATCTTGCTACTGCGGCACCCACTATCACACACACTAATGCACCAATCTTCACAAAATTATGCATATAAATCTTGTAAAATGATCGAAAGACAGATAATAGATGGTCCAGTGGAATTTAGATTTAGAGAAATTTATTCATCAAATATTTCATCATATTCAGAAAATATTATTTGTTAAGAATTGTGCTAGGAACTGGGAATTCTGTGGGGAAAAAAATAGAGGCAGCAGACAGTAACCAATAACCAAAAACGTTTTAATTCAATTTAAACGTTCAGTTTCAGTAGGCGTCATGAAGTAACTATACGGGGTGATGTGATAGGGAATGATCAAAGGAAGGGAATATTTCTAGATTAGCCCTGCAAAGGTAACAAACATTTTAGCAGAGACTAGACTGTTGAGACTGGGTTGGGGACAGAGCTGCAGGATGCTTCCCTGCAGTAGGAACAGGAAGCACCAAGGGCCATGGTGGGAAAGTCCGGTGCCTACAGAGCAGACAGAGTGCAAGAGTGGGCAAAGATGCCAGACAGGGACTTTGTCTACCATGGTGATTAGTTGGAGGTTCTGTTCTATTTACAATGGGAGGCCCTTGGAAGGTGTAAGCTGGGAGTGACATAATCGTCAATGAGCTCATGGACTACGACTAGAAATATGGAACACCTAATTACAACTGCACTAATTATTGTCAAGGAAAATTTCTCCTTATGCCCTGAGTTGTGGGAATGTGGAATTACCATGAGTAAACTGGATACCCTACAACTTCGCATTAGTAAAGCCAACACCACTATTGAAAAGGATTTCTACAAAGACAGATACATCAGAAAATGATAGCTCATTTGGTGGAGCAGAGAAACAAGGATTGCATGTTTCTGCAAATAATGCCAGCAGCCACAAGCTGAAAGGTAATCTTTATTGAGTGCACAGTATGGATTGAACTTGAAGTTCTATATCTGAGCTTCCACCCTACCTACATATACATAGCACAATCAGCATCAGTGGTGTCATCTGAAAATTAAGAGCAACAATATAAAGTTTGCAGTCAACGGCTCAGGTTTTGACATTTACTTCCCCTGAGTATAGCAGGCTTCTTATCTAAGGAGTCTGCATTTGTGACAGACCATGGCCCTTATGAGTTCCCGCAGGCACTCTAGGGTGAGTTGGGAGCCAATTTATCAACATCGATGACTTACACCAGTTTCAGTCCTCTCATCACTCTTTGGCAGACTCATCCAGCTAGCGAGCAATTAGCTGTGTCCGCTCTGCAGCACTTCATTCAGGGAAAGCAGCAAAAACTTTCTAAGATGACTGGAACTCCACAGATATATCCATCCCATTGCTCGATCACTGCTGGAAAAGGCAGTCAAGGGTATTAGCTTATCAGCTGTTGACCAGAGGGTGATTTCAGTGTCAGTTTTAACTTCCTACAAGTTGCCAATGTCTGCAGTGTGGGAGTCTATTTTTGGCCAAAGATTTAGGAGGCAATGGTAGTTTTGAAATGCCTAAGGCTTCTAAGCCAATTTGGAAAATTCAGAAGTCTGAATGCAATAAAGTTCTATAGGTAGAACTCATCCTACGAATATTTTCATTGCAAAGGGAAAGCCTAAAACTTATTTCTCTTGGGATTTCCTCATCTGGAGCGTGTAATAAAGTGGTCTTTGGTCAGACTAGTGGGTGTGTGGCTACAATTTTTACAAAAGGGATCTTACAACACGAAATTGATTAGTGGGGTGAACCAGGTTCCCACTTCAGTGTTTTGCTTCTGGAAAATAGGGAGAAAAGACAAGAGTACTGGGATTGTTTATGAATGCCAACTCAACAAAGTGGGCACACTGGAGAATTCAGAGCAAAACAAGACTGCTTGCTGTGATGGGTGCTTCCACTTTGCCCCTGCAGATCCACTCTCTACTTCTGCACCCTGCTTGGCATCCTGGAAGGCTGACCTTTAGGGACCACATAAGCAGGCTTCCTTGCTCTCTGACTTCCGGTTGAGCCTAACCAATGGGAGGCCAGCAGAGATTGAAGCAGGAAGGAGAGTGTAGTAGGGATGCGCATTACCCAAGCCTCTCCCAAGGGGGCCGTGAGGAGATACTGTCCCTCTGCTAAGGCACAGCTTCCTCGGAGTGGCCGTCTGCTCTACTTGCAGCTCCTTTTGCTGGGGACCACAAAGTGCCCCTCAACTTTACAGGCTTAGGGCTGGTTTCCCCAAGCCCTGTCCATACCCTCATCAATAGCCCTTTATTAAAGCCTTCTGTGATCCTGTTTGTGTGATCTATTTGTATTTCTCACATATATAAATAATCCATGGCTAATTTTTACAAAGGAAAAAAGTTCTTTATAACATCAAAACTTAATACCCATTTTTAAATTTTTATTTTATTTTATTTTAGAGACAGAGTCTCACTCTATTGCCCAGGCCAGAGTGTAGTGGCACGATCATTGCTCACTGCAGCCTAGAACTCATGGGTGCAAGCAATTCTCTTGCCTCAGCCTCCTGTGTAGCTGGGACCATAGGCACACACCACCATATTTGGCCAATTTTTTTTTATTTTTTATTTTGTAGAGACGGGGTCTCACCATGTTGCTCAGGCTGGTCTTGAACTCCTGTGCTCCAGCAATCCTCTCGCCTCAGCCTCCCAAACTGTTAGGATTACAGACATGAGCCACTGTACCTAACCTCAGTACTCATTTTAAACAAATCAATGCGCATGTCAACCTGCAGTTATCTTCCAAATACAATTGATGGGCCATCAGAGTCATTTGGAAAGTGAGAGGAGCCCCAGGCTCCCGGAGCAGGTGTGTTACTGCTTTCAAAATCCCCGTCAACAGCCGTATTCATTGTGTGGCAGTCAGGAAATGAAACTTTAGGCATTTGACATCCTAACCTGGCAATTGATTGGAGGTTTTTATTTGATGTGTAACAAACTATATTTTTTCTCATTTAAAATATGCTCTTCTCCCTCACTTTGGGAGGCCGAGGCAGGCAGATCACTCGAGCCCAGGAGTTTCTGTCCAGCCTGGGCAACATAGGGAGACTCCATCTCTACAAAAAATACAAAAGTTAGCTGGGCGTGGTGGCACATGCCTGTGGTCCCAGCTACTCGGGAGGCTGAGGTGGGAGGATCACTTGATCCCAGGAAATCGAGGCTGCAGTGAGCTGTCATTGCACCACTGCACTCTAGCCTGGGTGACAGAGGAAAACTCTATCTCAAAATAAAAATAAAAATAAAATAAAATAAAATAAAATAAAATACACTAATCTTTTGGTGTACACGGGGGATTGGTTCCAGGACACCCGCGTATACCCAAATTCGCACACACTCCAGTCCACAGTTGGCCATGTGGAACTGGCACGCACAAAAGGTTGGCTCTCTTTATACACGTGTTTCTCAGCCCACAAATAATATATTTCTAATCCGGGTTTGGCTCTGGGTTGAAAAATATCCACATAGAAGTGGACCCACACAGGTCAGCCCCGCATTGTTCAAGGGTCAACTGTAGTTGGAAATGAACTCTCAATGTTTCATGCAGAAAGCCTGTTTTCCAGGAATAGACTCCTGACATTTGGCAGGGAAAGCCTACGTGAGGAGAAAAGATTCTCACAGAGTCCTTAAAAAAAAAAAAAAAGAAAAAGAGGAGGAAAGAAATAGTTAATAGCAACATAATGTCTGAGTTGATTTCATTATTTGTTAAGTAGAAAAAAATGACAATACCTAAATTGCAGGAATTAAAAATAAGGAATGTGTGCCTGGGACATGTGATTTCTGTAAATGTGAACTGTTATTATGTATCCTAACTATTTTACTGATTTCTCAAATAGAATTTTTTAATGTTACCACTTATGGAAAACAAAAAATGTTTGAGAATTCCTTCATGATCTATGGATGGATGTCATACCTGTAACACAAATAGAATTCAGCTGTCCTCTTGACTTCTGCATTTAGCTAACTCTATGGCACAGACTTACAATGAAACATTTTAACTAGTTTTTTCTCATTATGTGCAAGCAGAGGAGATAGAAGGAATAGCAAAGAAGAAAAAGGGAACCCAGTTGACAATAATCAAAGAGGTCAAATTGCTGATATAGTTAAGAAATTATGATTGAACTGGAATGTGGATGAAATTATTAACAAAAGACTCAAGAGTCCTTCAACTTAATGATTCTTTCATAATCAGAAACCACCATTTTAAGTAAATCTGCACCCTGTAAAGTGCATGTTAAATGAATGATTTTCTTCATGCCTTACCACACTGCTAAGGGAGACAGCTGCTTACTTAGGACAAGGTCAAGAAAAATATTTGTTTAATACTTTTTTCATAACTATATCTTTATTTGTTTTCAGATTTATTACATAGAAGAGCAATTTGACGAGTTAACTACTCATTTTTCCCATATTTTAATGCTATAATACAGAGAACAATAACATATCAATTAACTTTAATTACCCTCTGGCTGGCTACCTTAGATCTCTGCCATCGTAAGCAGTGTGCTTTTACGAATAGCCTCCTGACAGTGAAAACCTCAAGAGGTCGATAACTCCTTTTACAATTTCTGTCCAGGGTCTCACACACACAAAAAAATCATTTAATATATTCTGTATGTTGCCTCATCCCTCCAATATTCTCAGAAGTCAGAATTGTATCATTTATAAGTGGATGGATATTAAAGATAGGTTCGTGGAGTCAAGAAGGGAAAAGATCCAACCACAGGGAAGTGAACTCCCACTACCTGAGCAAGGAACTCCTAAGTTTGTACTAAACTGAGATGCAAAGGTAAGAGGTTCCCTGTGTGTCATGGTTACAAAGCTTAAGCAGCTGGGAGGTGGCCCTGAACTGTGAGAATGAGAATGAAAGGCGAGTATCATTCTCTTTCTCACAGTTCAAATCGAGCCTGTGATACCTTCCAAGTTAATTCACCTGACATACGCACACAATAACTTCCGGTAAAATCTAAAAAACCAAGCATTTAGCCAGATTTAAAATATCACATACTGGTAATACTAGCTCCTCTGATGTAAACTTTGGGCAATGTTAGACACAGGATTAATCCTCTGTCTGATGGACTTTTCCAAGATAGTGATTTCTCTGTATTAGTCAGTCCTGAGATGTCCTACATGGTCAACTGGTCATCTAGAGAGCATCCAGGAAGCAGTGGTCAGCTAGGTCATGCATCGCTATGTGTGCCCCACTGCCTCTTTCCTGCCTCGTTTCCCTTTCCTCTCACCCTTGCAGCTCTTGGATTGTACTCACCAAACACAATACTGGCAATCAATTAAGCAGTAAAATACCAAGAGTCAAAACCTGTTTCTTGAAACCTTCTTCTTATAATAAATACTATAACTAGGCCAGGCACAGTGGCTTGCACCTGTAATACCAGCACTTTGGGAGGCTGAGGCAGGTGAATCACCTGAGGTCAGGAGTTTCAGACCAGCATGGCCAACTTGGTGAAACCCTGTCTCTAATAAAAATACAAAAATTAGCCGAGTATGGTGGCAAGAGCGTGTAATGTCAGCTACTCGGGAGGTTGAGGCAGGAGAATCGCTTGAACCCAGGAAATGGAGGTTGCAGTGAGCTGAGATCGCGCCACTGTACCCCAACCTGGGCAACAGAGCAAGACTCCGTCTCAAAAATAAATAAATAAATATGATAACATGGCTTTTGTATGAGACGGGAGGGCTTCATTGAAATAGAACAAGCCCTGAGATAATGGGCATATAAATTAGGTTTGCCTTGGCCTTTGGTGCCCAACCTTCCACATTCCCTTTCTCTGGTACTTTCCAATTTTTATTGAATGCCTGGTTTTTAGGTACCGAGTGAAGTCATTATGCCTCTAACTCTCCCAGAATTAATTCTTAACTGAGGTACACACATTACTAACTTAATACACATTAACAATGCCATGCGTTACCCTTCCGGTGGCATTACATTTTTTAGAAATAACTTGTAGAAGGGACATTGATAAACCCTAAGGAATTCATTTCTAATAGTAACTTTTCAGACAAATCTATGGGACATAAATTGCTGTGGAAATAAGTTCGAATTAAAAAAAAACTTTTTGGATGCCATTTAAATCACACAAAGTTGACAAAAAATTCAGGATCAGTATTCCATCAGACCTGGGCTCGAATGGCAGTTTTGCTCTTTACAAGCCGTGCGACATTAGATAAGTTACTTAACCTCTCTGTGCCTCAGCTGTAAAATGGGGAAAATAATTAATACCTACCTCATAGGCTCATGATATGATTAAGTGAATTACTACGTGTAAAGTCCTTACCAGCATAAGCAGTGTGCTATACCCTGTAAAGTTCCCACAGTCAAGTGGAGGAACAGGCTTACTTCACAGGACAGTGTGAGCAGGTCTATCACAGGAGGAGGTGAAAATGCTGAAGTACTAAGGAGGAGAGTTAGGCTAACTTTTGCCTGTGTGAACAATCAAGTATTTATTCTTTGTCATGTTTGAGAAATTATTCCATTATCAACTTCTGTTACCAACGTCAAGGCAATGACTCATGAAACTCGGCCTCTTTATTGAGACACTTGATATGAAAATCATTCTTAAAAATCTGTGAAATCATTGTTTAAAGTCACCATCTCATGTGTAGGAGCTGCCGCTAAAATTATTCAGTGCTATAGGCTTTCTTATGCTTCGTAAACAATCAGTTGTTATATTCATTGGAAATTAAAATATCAAGCTATCAGCAAGAGGAGTTCATGTACAAGCAGTGTTTTGATGGCTCTGAGCTATAGAAATCTTCATTCAGATATTAAGCAATTTTATGTTTGAGACACAAAATGAGCTTAAAAGTGAAATATGATGCATAGAAAATGTCTACAGTCTTAATATTGATGTGCTATTTCATAGGATATAGTGATAGAATACCTGTGATTTGGTGGTGTTCTTTTCTTCTTCTCAACAAAGGCCTTGTCCTTGCTCCTTTTTGAGCACAAGCATTTAAAGAGGAGTGAAATTGCCTTTTTGATATTCTGAGCAAATTTGTTGGGTGTGGGAGGAGAACTTTTCACAAAGTAAGTATCTGTCACATAACCAGCCTAGCGTCTACTATATGAACATCTGTATCCCACAAGATGGGCGAGGTTGCACCACAGCAAGAGACACCCCAAACCCTCTGGCTACAAGTTCATCTCAGGTCAGCTGGAGGCTCTGTTTGACTTGTCCTCGCTCCAGAATACAGGCTGATGGAATAAGTGCTGTCCCCAGCATCGCCACTCGCTGGCAAATGAAAAGAGAAAGGCGAAAGCTGTCCAACCACGCACTGGCTCTTAAGGCTTCCAACTCAAATTTCAATGGCCGAAGTAAATCCCATGGCCACATCTACCCTTAAAGAAGCAAGGAAGAGATGTTTTACATGTCCTGGAAGGGAGAGAAGTGGAAAAAAATTAGTAAACAGCCTCATGACTGCAACAATAACTGACCTCTTCTTTGTTCATTTCTTGTGCTATGTTTATGAGCTCACTTTCTCTGATAGGACCAGAAGACATGTAACAAATCCAAGATCATTATTATGAAAGAAGCAAAGAACACCACATAAAGTGATTTTATAAAATTAAGAGGAATAAAGCCACGGTAACATTGGCTGGCACTCAGATGTGGATTTTCTCTATGCTTTCTCCCTAGCCATCTATTGCTGCATAATGAACCACCTCAAAACTTAGTAATTAAAATAAGCACAATTGACTTGCCCACAGTTCTGCAGTTTGGGTTGGGCTTAGCTGATGATTCTTCTCTTGGATCTGCTGAGCTCATTCACACAGTTGCAGTTGTGTGGTGCAGGAAAGGTTGGAAGGTCCACCATGGGCTCACTCACCTCTCTGGTAGTTGATCTTGGCTGGTGCCTGGCTTGCTTTCTCCTCAAGGATCTTTCTTCCTCAAGGAGTCCAACCCAGGACACTTTATACAGTAATCTCAGAGCAACAAGAGGGAAAGAGTGAAAGCCGAAAGCCTTCTTGAGGAGAAGCTAATATGTCATACAACTTCACTTTCCCTGCGTTTTGTTCACCAAATCCAGTACAGGGCCCATCCTGTTCAAGGGTAGCGGAAATAGACTTTTGATGGGAGAAGCAGCACCTTCACATGGCAGAAGAGTGGGATCCAGGGATGGGAGGAAGTGCTGTGTCTACCTTTGCAAACAGTCTACCACGCCTGCAGAGGATGGGATGATCCCTGGCTTTGGGGTCCGCCTTGAGAATGCATAACCAGCCCAGAAAATATAGCATGATATTCCAGAGATTTCTCAACAGGTTTGCTTCTGTTACAAATGGATTGCAGTCTGGAAAATAACTGAAAAATGCATTTTCCATTTGTGAGAAGTGCAGAGATTTTTCCCTTGATTGTTCTGCTACGTCCTGCCCATCAGCAGAGGACTCCATCCCAGCAACTATCTCTGCCTGCTTGCGGAGCACGTGAGCCACCTGCACTTCGCAGTCTCTGATTGTTTTCCTTTTGAAATAATATTGTATACTGCCGGGCGCAGTGGCTCATGCCTGTAATCCCAGCACTTTTGGAGGCCAAGGCATGCTGATCACGAGGTCAAGAGATTGAGACCATCCTGGCTAACACGATGAAACCCCGTCTCTACTAGAAATACAAAAAAAATTAGCCGGGTGTGGCGGCAGGCGCCTGTAGTCCCAGCCACTCGGGAGACTGAAGAAGGAGAATGGCGTGAACCCAGGAGGCAGAGCTTGCAGTGAGCCGAGATGGTGCCACTGCACTCCAGCCTGGGCGACAGAGCAAGACTCTGTCTCAAAAAAAAATAATAATAATAACAATAATAATAATAATATTGTATATCTTGAAAATTCAGTCAAAGTAGAGTGGGAATAAAACCCTCTACACCAATATAAGCAGTGGCCAATGTCACCCATTTCAGGGATTTTTACTGTGGACATTTATTTGCCAAGGTCTGCACAGGCAATGGCAATGTGAATAACCAATCTCATAGAAATAGAAAAACTCATCAGTTTTTCTATGATGTCATGTGATAGAGAAATAGGAAGCCAAAGCTAACTTTGCAAAACTTTGCCAACTGAGCTTATTTGGCAAATGATCTCACCTGGTTCTGCCACAATTGGGTAAATTGAAGGATCAGGAGGGCGGAGCAAGACTAGGCTGGAAGAAGGCTGCGGTGGCAGAGGGGACACTGTGCATGAAGGCCCTCATGCAGGAACAGCACAGCATGATTAAAGAGCAAGAAAAGGCCAGTGTGGCTGGAGGGCATGGTGCCAGATGGGAGGGACAGGAGCTGAGGACAGGAAGGTGGATAGGGACTGTGTTGGTCCATTTTTGCGTTGCTATTAAGGGATACCTGAGACTAATTTATATAAGAAAATTAGTCTAAGATCATTTATAAAGAAAAGAGGTTGCATTGGCTCATGGTTCTGCAGGCTGCACAAGCATGGCTCCAGCATCTGCTTCTGATGAGGGTTCCAGGAAAGTTACAATCATGGCGGAAGGGGAAGTGGAGCCTGCATGTTACATTGTGAGAGCACAGCAAGGGGGCGGGGAGGGGAGATGCCACGCTCTTTTAAACAACCAGATCTCATGAGAACTCAGAGCAAGAACTCACTCATTACCATGGGAATGGAGCTCAGCCATTCGTGAGGGATCTGCCCCTGTGATCCAACACCTGCCACTCAGCCCAGACTCCAACATGGGGAGTCACATTTCAACATGGGATTTGAAGGAAACAAATATGTCAACCATATCAGGGGCCATTCAAACGGGTTTGGATTTGGAAAAGATTTGAACGAGAAAGTGACATAATCAGAGATGCATTTAAAGATCGCTCTAAGTGTTGCGTGAAAAATAGATAATTGGACCAGGGCAAGATAGAAGCAGAACAGGTCTATTGTATAGAATCTAAGGGAAAGATGCTGGTGCCTAGAATGAGACAGATGGCTGAATCTCCAGGACTTTATGACAAAATAAATGTGGGGTGAGTGGAAGACAAGGCGTTAACAAGGTTTCCCTGCAGGAGAAACATGGAGATCTTATCTGACTCTAGTGGCTAATTAAGAAGGGCCAACCACAAGACATTTTCTAAGGAGAGCCCACATTCCTAATCTTCTAAGGCAGTGAGAAGTTTACAAATTGGGGTGTTTTCACCTGAGGGGTGCTTAATATATGGGGTGCAGAAAGAAAATATTAGACCTGCTATACACAGTATTTTACTAAAAGTATAAGAAAACAAGCTCTTTTAATGTTTGATGTTGAGATTGATAATAATATGCTATAAATACTCACAAAGGGAAGTAAGTGTGCACACATTTCTTTTTATTTTTATTATACTTAAGTTCTAGGGTACATGTGCACAATGTGCAGGTTTGTTACATATGTATACGTGTGCCATGTTGCTGTGCTGCACACATTAACTCGTCATTTACATTAGGTATATCTCCTAATGTTTTACCTACCCCCTACCCCCACCCCATGACAGGCCCCAGTGTGTGATGTTCCCCTTCCTGTGTCCAGTTGTTCTCATTATTCAATTCCCACCTATGAGTGAGAACATGCGGTGTTTGGTTTTTTGTTCTTGCAATAGTTTGCTGAGAATGATGGTTTCCAGCTTCATCCATGTCCCTACAAAGGACATGAAGTTATCCTTTTTTATGGCTGCATAGTATTCCATGATGTATATGAGCCACATTTTCTTAATCCGGTCTATCATTGATGGACATTTGGGTTGGTTCCAAGTCTTTGCTATTGTGAATAGTACCGCAATAAACATTAAGTGTGCATGTGCCATTATGGCAGCATGATTTATAATCCTTTGGGTATATGCCCAGTAAGGGGATGGCTGGGTCAAATGGTATTTCTAGTTCTAGATCCTTGAGGAATCCCTGCACTGTCTTCCACAATGGTTGAACTAGTTTACAGTCCCACCAACAGTGTAAAAGTGTTCCTATTTCTCCACATCCTCTCCAGCACCTGTTGTTTCCTGACTTTTTAATGATCACCATACTAACTGGTGTGAGATGGTATCTCATTGTGGTTTTGATTTGCGTTTCTCTGATGGCCAGTGATGATGAGCATTTTTTCATGTGTCTTTTGGCTGCATAAATGTCTTCTTTTGAGAAGTGTCTGTTCCTATCCTTGGCCCACTTTTTGATGGGGTTGTTTTTTTCTTGTAAATTTGTTTGAGTTCTTTGTAGATTCTGGATATTAGCCCTTTGTCAGATGAGTAGATCGCAAATATTTTCTCCCATTCTGTAGGTTGCCTGTTCACTCTGATGGTAGTTTCTTTTGCTGTGCAGAAGTTCTTTAGTTTAATTAGATCCCATTTGTCAATTTTGGGTTTTGTTGCCATTGCTTTTGGTGTTTTAGACATGAAGTCCTTGCCCATGCCTATGTCCTGAATGGTATTGCCTAGGTTTTCTTCTAGGGTTTTTATGGTTTTAGGTCTGACATTTAAGTCCTTAATCCATCTTGAATTAATTTTTGTATAAGGTGTAAGGAAGGGATCCAGTTTCAGCTTTCTACATATGGCTAGCCAGTTTTCCCAGCACCACTTATTAAATAGGGAATCCTTTCCCCATTGCTTGTTTTTGTCGGGTTTGTTGAAGATCAGATGGTTGTAGATGTGTGGTATTATTTCTGAGGGCTCTGTTCTGTTCCATTGGTCTATATCTCTGTTTTGGTACCAGTACCATGCTGTTTTGGTTCCTGTAGCCTTGTAGTATAGTTTGAAGTCAGGTAGCGTGATGCCTCCATCTTTGTTCTTTTGGCTTAGGATTGACTTGGCAGTGCGGCCTCTTTTTTGGTTCCATATGAACTTTAAAGTGTTTTTTTTCCAATTCTGTGAAGAAAGTCTTTGGTAGCTTGATGGGGATGGCATTGAATCTATAAATTACCTTGGGCAGTATGGCCATTTTCACGATATTGATTCTTCCTACCCATGAGCATAGAATGGTCTTCCATTTCTTTGTATCTTCTTTTATTTTGCTTAGCAGTGGTTTGTAGTTCTCCTTGAAGAGGTCCTTCACATCCCTTGTAAGTTGGATTCCTGGGTATTTTATTCTCTTTGAAGCAATTGTGAATGGGAGTTCACTCATGATTTGGCTCTCTGTTTGTCTGTTATTTGTGTATAGGAATGCTTGTGATTTTTGCACATTGATTTTGTATCCTGAGACTTTGCTGAAGTTGCTTATCAGCTATAAGGAGATTTTGGGCTGAGACAATGGGATTTTCTAAATATACAGTCATGTCATCTGCAAACAGGGCCAATTTGACTTCCTCTTTTCCTAATTGAATACCCTTTATTTCTTTCTCCTGCCTGATTGCCCTGGCCAGAACTTCCGACACTGTGTTGAATAGGAGTGGTGAGAGAGCGCATCCCTGTCTTGTGCCAGTTTTCAAAGGGAATGCTTCCAGTTTTTGCCCATTCAGTATAATATTGGCTGTGGGTTTGTCATAAATAGCTCTTATTATTTTGAGATACGTCCATCAATACCTAATTTATTGAGAGTTTTTAGCATGAAGGGCTGTTGAATTTTGTCAAAGGCCTTTTCTGCATCTATTGAGAAAATCACGTGGTTTTTGTCTTTGGTTCTGTTTATATGCTGGATTACGTTTATTGATTTGCATATGTTGAACCAGCCTTGCATCCCAGGGATGAAGCCCACTTGATCATGGTGGATAAGCTTTTTGATGTGCTGCTGGATTCGGTTTGCCAGTATTTTATTGAGGATTTTTGCATCGATGTTCATCAGGGATATTGGTCTAAAATTCTCTTTTTTTTGTTGTATCCCTGCAAGGCTTTGCTATCAGGATGATGCCGACCTCATAAAATGAGTTAGGGAGCATTCCCTCTTTTTCTGTTGATTGGAATAGTTTCAGAAGGAATGGTACCAGCTCCTCCTTGTACCTCTGATAGAATTCGGCTGTGAGTCCGTCTGGTCCTGGACTTTTTTTGGTTGGTAGGCTATTAATTATTGCCTCAACTTCAGAGCCTGTTATTGGTCTATTCAGAGATTCAACTTCTTCCTGGTTTAGTCTTTGGAGGGTGTATGTGTCGAGGAATTTATCCATTTCTTCTGGATTTTCTAGTTCATTTGCATAGAGGTGTTTATAGTAGTCTCTGATGGTAGCTTGTATTTCTGTGGGATCAGTGGTGATATCCCCTTTACCATTTTTTATTGTGTCTATTTGATTCTTCTCTCTTTACATCTTTATTAATCTTGCTAGTGGTCTATCAATTGTGTTGATCTTTTCAAAAAACCAGCTCCTGGATTCATTGATTTTTTGAAGGGTTTTTTTGTGTCTCTATCTCCTTCAGTTCTTCTCTGATTTTAGTTATTTATTGCCTTCCGCTAGCTTTTGAATGTGTTTGCTCTTGCTTCTGTAGTTCTTTTAATTGTGATGTTAGGGTGTCGATTTTAGCTCTTTCCTGCTTACTCTTGTGGGCATTTAGTGCTATAAATTTCCCTCTACACACTGCTTTAAATGTGTCCCAGAGATTCTGGTATGTTGTGTCTTTGTTCTCATTGGTTTCAAAGAACATCTTTATTTCTGCCTTCATTTCGTTATGTACCCAGTAGTCATTCAGGAGCAGGTTGTTCAGTTTCCATGCAGTTGAGCGGTTTTGAGTGAGTTTCTTAATCCTGAGTTCTAGTTTGATTGCACTGCGGTCTGAGAAACAGTTTGTTAAAATTTCTGTTATTTTACATTGCTGAGGAGTGCTTTACCTCCATCTATGTGGTCAATTTTAGAATAAGTGTGATGTGGTGCTGAGAAGAATGTATATTCTGTTGATTTGGGGTGGAGAGTTCTGTAGACGTCTATTAGGTCCGCTTGGTGTGCACACATTTTTTATTGATGGGGTGCCATGTTCATTTTCTATTGCTGCATAACAAAATTCTACAAACATAACAGCTCGAAACATACCCACTTATTGGCTTACAGTTTTGTGAACTCAGGGCAGATTCCTGAGCATAAGTGAGCTGGGTTCTCTGATTGCGGTATCAATAGGTTGAAATCAAAGAGTTAGCCAGCTGTGTCCTCATCTACAGACTTAACTGGGAAACAACTACTTGCAAGCTCCCCCAGATTGTTGGCAGAGTCCATCTTTTTGTCGTTGTAGGACCTCAGTCCTCAGTCCAGCATCCTGATGTCTGTTAGCTGGAGACCACTTTTAGCTCCCAGAGGCTGATCTCAGCTCCTTGTTAATCTCCACCATAGGCTCTCTCATAGTACCAATCTCTTATTTTAGGAAGGACCCAGTTCTTTTTTGTTTTTTTTTTTAGACGAAGTTTCTCTTTTGTTGCCCAGGCAGGAGTGCAATGGCACAATCTTGGCTCACCGTAACCTCCGCCTCCCAGGTTCAAGCGATTCTCCTGCCTCAGCCTACTGAGTAGCTGAGATTACAGGCATGCCCCACCACCATGGGTGGCTAATTTTGTATTTTTAGTAGAGGCAGGGTTTCACCATCTTGGCCAGGCTGGTCTTGAACTCCTGACCTCATGATCCACCTGCCTCAGCCTCCCAAAGTGCTCAGATTACAGGCATGAGCCACTGTGCCCAGCCCTGGCCCAGTTCTTTTTAAAGGCTCATCTGATTAGACCAGGCCCACCCAAGACATTCTTCTTTTTTATCAATTCAAAGTCAGCTGACTTGGTGACCTTAAATGCATCTGTGAATCCCTCCACCTTTGCTATACAAAATGATCTAATCATCATATTCAGAGTCCCACTAAGTCAAAGGAATAGGATTACACAGGGCATGTACACCAGGGGCAGGAATCTTGTGGGTCATTTCCAAAGGTTGCCTACCACAAGTGCATTGCCAAAAGTGTGGCATTCACTGCTCTAGTGTATCAACTTTGTGACTGTTTTTCACAGCCTATCATTTATGGTCATGCAGGAGCTGAGGAGAAAAGCAATTTCTAAAATCATTAGAGCACAAAAAATGCCATGAGTTTTTTAGAGTAAGATAAACCTATTGCTACTACACAAATCCAGGTTGTTACCACTAGCTGAGTGTGAGGTGTGGTGTATTAGTCTGTTTTCACACTGCTATAAAGAACTACCGGAGACAGGGTAATTTATGAAGAAAAGAGGTTTAATTGACTCACAGTTCTACATGGCTGGGGAGGCCTCAGGAAATCATAGCAGAAGGCAAAGGGAAGGCAGGCACGTCTTACATGGTGGCAGGAGAGAGAGAGTGGAGTGGGGAAGTGCCACACTTTTAAACCGTCATATCTCGTGAGAACTAACTCACTATCACAAGAACAGCATGGAGGAAATCCACCTCCATGATCCAATCACCTCCCACCAGGTCCCTCCCCTGACATTGGGGGATTAAAATTCCAGATGAAATGTGGGTGGGGACACAGAGCCAAACCATATCATGTGGGCATATATTCCATCATAAAAATAGACTCCTGCATTCTACACCAAGCTTTTAAAAGAGCTTTGCAAATATTAAGTAAACCAGTTTTCGATATTCTGATTCCAGGATTCCAGTGCACAGAAATATGGGAAAATGAGAGGAGATCTATATCGTAATGGAAAGCCAGAATCTTTTTGTAGAAGTTATACATGAATAACATGATTTTTAGCTTGATCTTCTTCCTGGGATCTAGTTTCTGCCTCAGTGTGAATCACACATGATCCCCATGTTAGTAGATGTTTATCTGGGGTAGTATAACATCCTTGGGTTGTTTGCATTCTTGGACTTTACCTCCCTGATTCCCTGAATGTTGCCTTACTGAGAGCCCTTCCATTTTAAAGGAGGCCGTTAAGAATATGACGGCATGAGCCACAGTGGGCACCCTTTTGAGTTGGAAATCTCAAACCAAACGAAACAACTTCAGTAGAATAAATCTTCAGTAGTAGTCCTATAACCAATTAAAATAAGTGTCGTCTTGGGTTTGTTCTGTTTCCTTGACTTAAAGGAGAAGTAGAGTGCTAAAATAGCAACTTTAGGTGAGGATTTTCTCCATGACAAACATGCTCTCAGATTCCTGTCTGAAATTTGGTTATCCTTCCAGAAGTAGCCCAATTTCTCTTCCCTGGGGGAAACTTCAGAAGGAGCCCAATCCACTTACACCATACGGATATTAATCTCATACGGTTGTTGAGGACAAAGGCTATGCAGTTATTGCTCTGTGAATTCCCTCAGCAACAAACTTGCAACGGTAGCCTCACAGGAAATGCTGTTGATTTGTTGATCAGTATTTTAAAATTCAAAGGCAAATTATCCGAGGAAAACCACCAAAGATAAGAAAGCTTATGTAGTCTGTGGTTGAAAGGGAGGGTAGATAATTATTTTAGCAGCTATTCTAGATCATCTGGTGCAAATGAGCTGCGGTATACAAGAGGACTTGTATATTTGGGTAATAGTGCACCTGACATTGAATTTTTTCTTTATTTGTAGTCAGGTGCAAATAGGTCCCTGGAGGAGTCACACTCCGAAACGCAGAGGATGCTTCCAGAAATATTATGGTCTCTGGTGCTTTTCCAGAGAATATTCTAAATGACCCTGAGCCTTAAATGAGAATTATCAAATTGTTATAGTCCAGAACTAATCTAAAAGATGTCTCTTCATCTGATTTCGTCCAGAGCCTGAGGGTTATGACTACTTGGAGATATTTAAGAATAAAGGGGTTCTATAGACTCAGAACTGATGTCTGAAGGCACTACTAATATGTCCTTTTTCTCAAAAGATTCCAAAGATGCTCTGAAATGGGTTTTGGGAATTTATGCCTGGAGTGCTTTAGCACACGGGACATAAATTTGGTTCAGCAGCGTTTGTTCCCCCACACAACCAGGACACTAAATAGATTCGTGTCAACCCCTGCAAGGCAACAAACTAATGTTCTTTATCAATTCCTTTATGCAATATGCCATTTTTTATTTAAGGTCATGCTGCCATTTTTTTCAGGGAAAGGGAAGAAGATCTCCTCTTTCACCTTCTTCCATATTTGCGGTTTGCTCTTAAGAGAAAAATGTGACTTCCATCTTCAGTTCAGCCACATCCGTAGCCTCAGTCTAACACATCGATGGTAGGTAGCATTTGGCAATGGTCTCATGCAGGTAACAAATATTCTGTCTTGTCACAATTTAGAATACCTGATGTTTGGAGGAGCTATAAACCTTATTTACATATTTGCCTTTGCCAACTGTAAATTTCCCTTTTATCGTTCTTGGCCTTATGGGGCTGTAAACATTTGCCATTTGCTCCTTGAAAGTTCGCCCTGTGTAAGAAATATTGAAGTCATAAATGTGGCATTCTTTCTTCAATCGTTTGAAAAAAATTCAGCCTCTCCAACAGATCCATTTTCAATGTACACATCTGTTTGAGTCTTACTTTTTTAATTCTTTTTTTTTTTTTTTTTTTGCAAGAGACTTTATTTCCTTTATAGCCATTTATCATCAAGGGGAAAGGTGTGAAACACTTTTTTTTCACACAGCATACCTTGCAAATGCAAACCATATGTTATCAGTTTTCCTATGTATTTTGTATTGCTAGTACCATATGCCTCAAGTGATTGATCTTACTGTTGTGAGGTAACTAAGGATACATATATTTTAAGTCTCTCTTGTAGGAAATAAGATCTCCCTCTATTGCTCTTTCAGATTAATGTGCTAAAAGCCTCTGCTTATCTCTAATGGATGATCCATAATTTACATCAAAATTTCAATCACTTTAAATTAATATAGCCATTTCCTTAATGAATCAAGCTACTAGAATCTGCTCTGATTTTCACAAAACAATTCAGTCGTGGCTGTTTACAATTTTTTGGTTAGCATAAAATCTGAGTTTTCACAGCATTTTTCATTTTAGTTTTTGAAATTAATTAATAAATTACTTGTATTATTTTGAAGTAAGCATCCTCCGTATACACTTTTATGAAAAACATACTCTATATTCATCTTCACCCTTTTTTTCATCTGCTAGGGGATTTCATAAGAAGCAGGAAAGAGAAAAATATATGTATTCTACTAACAGACTTATATAAATATTGTGAGACCTATCTCTGAAAACATGAGGTTGTTTATTTCTTATTTGTCCCCTTGAGATTTACAGGAGTAAGTCACATTAATTCTAATGGGATTTAGCCGTCAAAATTTTCTCTGCATCAGCAGCAGAAGGGAGGCATGCGGGCATAGCAAACGAGAAAGTTGAAAAATGAATTTTCGTGACCTAAATTTTTTATTGTAATTATTACATAATTAATATTGCACCTTAATACTAGTTCACCTCATTATAGGTATAAATACCTGGTATGCATTTACTCTGCAGTGAAAATAAACACTGATGTGCTAATCATAGCTAAACATGGGATTGAAAGACTAATCAATCTTCATGAGGGACATCAGTAGTCAGTTTCCATCGAATGATCAAGTTGATGAAAAGAGGATATCCCAATACATGCTAATTTGACATGGAAAAAGGGATTCGCTGCAGTTCAGCTGAGATGGCTGCAGGTGAACAAGGGTCTTACCTAAGTGGGGAGTGTGGGTTCCACCATGCTGATCCCCAGGAAACCTGTCAGAGGATCTCTTCCATAAGACAGTGGTTGTCAAGCTGGGCTCAGAGAGCCACCAAGCTACCTTGGGAACTTCTATGGGCTGAGAGGGTGGAGTGGAGAGGAACAGATAGGACAGAGGCCTACCACTTCCGCTTTCAACCTAGGGTGATGCTTCTCCTTTTACATGTTTACATATTAGCTTTCTTTGTAGGATTTCCTGGGAAGAAAGGGTGCAAGAGCTTTAAAAAAATTGTTGCAGAGCACAGTAATAGCATAGGCTTCTGGAGGGAGACGGGGCTTCCTCACATAGATCAAATCAAGAGAGGAGGCCACAGTCAGGAATTGAACAGACATGGCCATTCTTGTGGCAACTGGGGGGAAATTACATCGTGGGCTCCCTCTTCCCTGCTAACATATAGATACACATATGCCATATATAAATATACATAAACATACATGTATATATATGTACACACATGTGGAAGGAAAGAGAGAGAAACTTCAGTTTTTGTTTTTTGGTTTTTTTTGAGACAGTTTCGCTCTGTCATTCAGGCTGGAGTGCAATGATGTGATCTCAGCTCACTACAACCTCCACATCCCAGATTCAGGCGATTCTCCTATCTCAGCCTCCCGAGTAGCTGGGACTACAGGTGCGTGCCACCACATCCGGCTAATTTTGTATTTTTAGTAGAGACAGGGTTTCACCATATTGGCCAGGATGGTCTTGATCTCTTGAACTCGTGATCCACCCGCCTCGGCCTCCCAAAGTGTTGGGATTACAGGTGTGAGCCACCGCCCATGGCCATTTCTTGCTCTTCAGGCCTTCAGCTGATTGGAAGAAGCCCACCCACATTAGAGAGGGTAATAATCTGCTTTATTTAAAATCAAATGATTGCACATGTTAGTCACATCCACAAAATACCTTCATAACAACCTCTAGACTAGTGTTTGGCCAAATAACAGACACCACATTCTAGCTGATCTTTGACACACAAAGCAAACCATCACTGTGTCATGACAGGTTCCTCTCTTCCTCTCACGTGCCCAGCCAATCCATCAGCAGTTACTCTTGGCGCTACCTTCTTGATGTACCCACACTCCACCCACTTCTCCCCACCTCTGCTGCAGCGCCTCAGTGCAAGCGCCCATCGTGTCTTACTGGATTATTGGAATAGCATCTTAACAGTTCTTCTTTTCTCTGCTTTTCCCTCTTCGGTTTATCCTCAACGCAGCGACCAAAGTAATCCTGTTAGCTAAACGGATCATGTCACTGCTCTTCTGTTTAGAGCCCCTGATGGCTTCCCGTCACCCTTCGATTAAAAACCAAAGTACTTACAGTGCTATCATGCCCTGCATCCTTTACACTTCCCCATGACCTCTCTGACCTCAGCCCCTACCCCTCTGGTTTACACCACTCCAGCCATTTCGCTTCGCTTGATGTTCCCGAGAAACTTCCACTTACACACACTGCACATTCGGTTTCCTCTTTCTAAAAAGGCTTTCCCGCTAGATACCCATATGCCTTGCTCTCTGCCGCCTTCAGGTCTCCAAGTGAAGGCCACCTTCCCATGAAGACCTTCTCTGACCACACTACAAGATTGCGAAGCCCCTTCTTCCTCAGCAACTCCTATCCTTTTTTCCTCTGCAAAATTAGTTATAATTATTCTATAGTTTCTATAACAACAACAAAAAAAACTTCAGTGTCTTATCAAAATAGAAATGTATTTCTTATTTATGTGAGTGTTCCTGATTCACGAGCAACTTTCCTCCATGTGGTGACTAAGAAACAAAACACGTCTTTTGGCTCCCCCAGCAACTCCGGGCTGTGGAGTCCAGTGTGTTCAGCACATGGGTGGGGAATGAGTAGGTGGAAATTTATACCCACTCCTTAAGCCAGAAAATGACACACGTCACTTCTATGCACATGACAGTGGCAAAACTCGTCAAATGTTCCTATCCAGACGTGAAGGAGACCTGGAAATATAGTCCCTGGAGGAGCCCGTGTTTTTCCAGTAACATCTTCACACTGTGGGAGGAAAAGCCAAAACTTTGGTGGAACACTGACAAGGCTCCACCCTCCTGACCTAATTACCTCCGAAAGGCCCTGCCTCCTCCTACAATCACAGTAGGGGTTAGAATCTCAACATACAAATGTGAGAGGGACACAGACATTGTCTGTAGCAAGCACTTACCAATTGTAACATGTTACATTTGTACTCATTTATTGTTTTGTTGTTGTCCGTCACTCCCACTAAAATCTATGGCCCGTGAGACATGCATTTTTGTTCATTTCAGTCATTGGTACATTCTCAGAGCCTAGAACAGAAATAAATAATTTCTGAGTGAACAAATGAGTAAATGGGTAGATGGATGAGTTGCTGGATGGGTGCATAGGAATGACAGGGTATATCCTGCCCAGCTGTAGTTCATCAGTAGAAGGGGTTTGGACCACACGCAGGCATTTTCTTGGCAAAGAGGAAGGGGAAAAGTAAGATGTGAGACCGTCTACAGGACACACTTGCCCTTGGTGACTTTATCCTATTCCCTTTACCTAGTAATTGAGTTTTATTACTATGTAACTTTTAAAAATTGGTTTATTCAAAATCAAGACATGGTTATCATTCTACTTAAACTGGTTGTTGGTAATAGAACCTACTTATCCCACACAGACTGACATAGTGCCTAATTGAGAGACACACAGAAAATGTTGGCCAAATAAGTAATTAAATCACGAATAAGTGGGCATCAGATTAGGTTTCCTCCAGCGTAAGCACTGGGACTCATTCATTCAATCTTCAGCAAGTATGTACAGATAAGGCCGTGAAAGTTGTGAAGTTGTGGCTGCATAGAAAAATACTTAATGCCCCCCTGTGTTTGGGGATCACCCAGTATTTCTTTTAAGAAGTATAAAAATTATTAATGTCAACTTTTCCATGTTCCTGCTCTCACCAACATAGAATGTTCCATCTGCAGAACAAATCCAAGTCAGAGGTTGAAATCCTGAAGTCCAAAGATCATTAGTCTGTCTGAACCTTTTCACTGCTTTAGAACCTTAAAAATTCATTATGAGAGCAGAGAGATTTGCTCTTTTTGCTACTGTACTCCATTTTCTCTGTAGTAAAAATGGAAACTTTATTGGAAAACATAATACATCAATTGTAATGATCATCATAGTTTGAGATGGTGGGTTTTTTTAAAATGTTACTTTCCTTAATAATCACTATGTATAAAAACTGCAAATATATATATTCCAGAGTTCCTTTAAATCAGCAGAGATGCACCTGCATATTTTGGTCTCATATATGAAAAAGGGCAATTAGCTTCTAAATTAACACATCCGTGTATTAATAACTGACATTTAGTAGTAGCCCAAAGGTCATATTGAAAGACTGTTCATGCATGAAGCTGCAGAACTTATTCTAATCATGCTGTACCTAATTGATTCACAGATGATCTAACTGGACAAATTGTTAAATAAAAGGGTGGCCTAGAATTCATTTTGTTTTGCATTTTTTTTGACTGTTTGGGAATACTTCAAGTGTATTCCTGTCATCACTTGTCCTTGTTTAGTCCATGAATCTGACATAGCAGAAAGTTCTTCTGGACTCTGCTTGGATATCAAGAGCAAAAAGCTATGGGAAATGATGGACTAAGAAATGAAATGGCACAGCAAAAATGTAACCAGGCATAATAACCCAAATGAAATAGCAAGCATATCATGGCATATTGACTTAAGAGATATTTTATTTATTTGCTGATTATTTCTTTTGTATGAATGCATCAAGCCCCCTGAACCCTAGTTAGTTATACAAATGAGCACCTCATTGTGACCATCCACATGCAGCCAAGGCAGCTCCACTCCCTGCAGCACTATGTCACCATCATCCCATGACAGGGTCCGGTTAATATCCCCACCACTGGCCAGCTGTGGTGGCTCACGCCTGTAATCCCAGCACTTTGGGAGGCCGAGGCGGGTGGATCACCTGAGGTCAGGAGTTTGAGACCAGCCTGGCCAACACAGTGAAACCCCGTCTCTACTAAAAATACAAAAATTGGCCAGGCATGGTGGCAGGCCCCTGTGATCCCAGCTACTTGGGAGGCTGAGGCCGGAGAATCGCTTGAACCCAGGAGGCAGAGGTTGCAGTGGGCCGAGATCACGCCAGTGTACTCCAGCCTGGGGGACAAGAGCAAGACTTATTCTCAAAATAAATAAATAAATCCCCACCACCCTCGGAGTGGTGCTCTTCCCTTAGCTACTGTGACACTACACACTCCTGATTTTGTTCCTACTTCTCGGCCAAGGAGATCCACCCCAACAGATGAACTCCTGCCAGTAAGGCTGAGGGCTGCACAGCCCCTGCGTGTGTGGGCGTATGGGCTGGATAAGGACTGTGCCAAGTGCCGTTTACAATGCCGTGTCGCTTTGCCATTTATTTTGTGATGCAGTGAATACATTTATCTCCATAATAATTGGCAAAAGGTACCCAAGTGTATCAGCCACGTCCTGGTGGTACACAGACAGCACTCACCAAAAGGAGAAGCTGAAGACAGTTGAATGAACAGGTAGGCAGGGACATCAAGAAGATGAAGGGGCTTTAGTGAGTTCTGTGGACCAACAGCAGCATCACCTGGGAAATTGATAGAAATGCCAATTCTCAGTCCCTACTCCAGACCTACTGAGCCTGAGACTCTGGGGATAGAATGCAGTAATCTGTGCATCAACAAGCTCTCCAGGTGATTCTGATTGCAAGTTAGAGAACCACTGTAATAATGGATCATGGCACATCCTAACAAAAGAAGCAACTGGAAAGTGCAAAGGTAAAACAAAATTGGTCAAAGAAATTTAGTTTCTTCCAGGTTTGACTCACAATTGCCCATCACTGCTTTCATGATGTAGGGATTGTTATAGTGCTTTCCTGCAGGCATCTATTTACTTACAAGCCATCCTTTTCCTTATACCTCCTCTGCCACGTCTCTGAAGCTGTCTCAAATGATGTAAAATTTCCAACACAACACCCTTTATCATACTTATGCATGATTACCAGCAGGCCCAGCATTTTCCCTTGCTGCACTGGGTATTTTTGTTTGCCCCTCCAGACGAGTTCCCTATCAATCTCCACTCAGCTCTGTGCACCTAAGTCACCCAGACTCTGTGGTCATCTCATTCTTGATTGGGTTTGGCTGATGGGAACTATAGGAGGTGATGCCGGCGTTGCAGCAGCAGGAGAGCTCTGGCTTCCCCTCTACCAGGCCACCAGGTTGACAGTCCTCTACCAAAAGCCTGAACTTTGGTTGGGCAACCCTTTCCTCCAATTCTATGTCTTGCTAAATTTCTTTGACTAGTTTTTGGCCACACATGTCAAGAATTCCATAGAAACCATAACACTGAGCCCCATGTAGTATCAAGCTACTTCTTTTGAAAGGGTGAACTATTTCTTCAAAAAAGACTAGTGCATGACAACATAAACTTGAAAAACTGGTAATCACACAAGGGACTATTTTCATTACTAAGAGACTGTTTTATCAAAATATTGAAGCGGGGCTTCCTTTAGCTCCTCTTTCTTCAATACATATAAAAGATTATCTTTTTTTCTATATTGGTACCAATAACTGCATAAAAATGGCCTGTACATGAAAAGAGTGTTACTTTTTTTATTATTATTATACTTTAAATTCTGGGATACATGTGCAGAACGTGCAGGTTTGTTACATGGGTATACATGTGCCATGGTGTTTGCTGCACCCATCAACCCGTCACCTACATTACGTATTTCTCCTAATGCTGTCCCTGCCCTAGCTCCCCACCCCCGGCAGGGCCCGGTGTGTGACGTTCCCCTCCCTGTGTCCACGTTTGCTCATTGTTCAGCTCCCACTTATGAGTGAGAACATGCGGTGTTTGGTTTTCTGTTCTTGTGTTAATTTGCTGAGAATGATGGTTTCCAGCTTTATCCACGTCCCTGCAAAGGAAATGAACTCATCCTTTTTTGTGGCTGCATAGTATTCCATGGTGTGTGTGTATATATATATATATATATATATATATATATATATATATGGTGTGTGTGTGTATATATATATATATGGTGTGTGTATATATATATAATGGAAAATATATATATACCATGGAATATATATATATATAAAATATATATAATGTATAATATATATATTATATATTATATGTATAATAAATTATATATATATAAAATACCATGGTGTGTATATATATATATACATACACACACCATATATATATACACACACACCATATATATATATATATATATATATATATATATATATATGCCACATTTTCTTTATCCAGTCTATCATTGATGGACATTTGGGTTGGTTCCAAGTCTTTGTTATTGTGAATAGGGCTGCAATAAACATATGTGTTCATGTGTCTTTATAGTAGAATGATTTATAATCCTTTGGGTATATACCCAGTAATGGGATTGCTGGGTCAAATGGTATTTCTAGTTCTAGGTCCTTGAGGAATGGCCACACTGTTTTTCACAATGATTGAACTAATTTACACTCCCACCAACAGTGTAAAAGCATTCCTATTTCTCCACATCCTCTCCAGCACCTCTTGTTTCCTGACTTTTTAATGATTGCCATTCTAACAGGTGTGAGATGGTATCTCATTGTGGTTTTGATTTTCATTTCTCTAATGACCAGTGATGATGATTTTTTTTCATATGTTTGTTGCCTGCATAAATGTCTTCTTTCAAGAAGTGTCTGTTCATATCCTTTGCCCACTTTTTGATGGGGTGGTTAGTTTTTTTCTTGTAAACTTGTTTAAGTTCTTTGTAGATTCTGGATGTTATCCCTTTGTCAGTTGGATAGACGGCAAAAATTTTACCCATTCTGTACATTGCCTGTTCACTCTGATGGTAGTTTCTTTTGCTGTGCAGATACTCTTTAGTTTAGGTAGATCCCATTTGTCAATTTTGGTTTTTGTTGCCATTGCTTTTGGTGTCTTAGACATGAAGTCTTTGACCATGCCGATGTCCTGAATGGTATTGCCTAGGTTTTCTTCTAGGATTTTTATGGTTTTAGGTCTTACATTTAAGTCTTTAATCCATTTTGAGTTAATTTTTGAGTTAATCCATTTTGAGTTAATCCATTTTGAGTTAATTTTGTGTAAGGAAGGGGTCCAGTTTCAGTTGTCTGCATATGGCTAGCCAGTTTTCCCAACATCATTTATTAAATAGGGGATCCTTTCCACATTGCTTGTTTTTGTCAGGTTTGTCAAAGATCAGATGGTTGTAGATGTGCGGTATTATTTCTGAGGGCTGTTTTCTGTTCCATTGGTCTATATCTCTGTTTTGGTACCAGTACCATGCTGTTTTGGTTACTGTAGCCTTGTAGTATACTTTGAAATCAGGTAGCGTGATGCCTCCAGCTTTGTTCTTTTTGCTTAGGGTTGTCTTGGCTATGTGGGCTCTTCTTTGGTTCCATATGAAGTTTAAACTAATTTTTTCCAGTTCTGTAAAGAAAGTTAATGGTAGCTTGATGGGGATAGCATTGACTCCATAAATTACTTTGGGCAGTATGGCCATTTTCACGATATTGATTTCTCCTATCCGTGAGTTTGAAATGTGGAATGTTTTTCCGTTTATTTGTGTCTTCTCTTATTTCCTTGAGCAGTGGTTTGTAGTTCTCCCTGAAGAGGTCCTTCACGTTCCTTGTAAGTTGTATTGCTAGGTATTTTATTCTCTTTGTAGCAACTGTGAGTGGTAGTTCACTCACGATTTGGCTCTCTGTTTGTCTTGTGATTTTTGCACATTAATTTTGTATCCTGAGACTTTGCTGAAGTTGCTTATCAGCTTAAGGAGATTTTGAGCTGAAATGGTAGGGTTTTCTAAATATACAATCATGTCATCTGCAAACAGAGACAATTTGACTTCCTCTTTTCCTATTTGAATACCCTTTATTTCTTTCTCTTGCCTGATTGCCCTGGCCAGAGTGTTACTTTTTTTGAACTTATCTATGCTAGTTGGTTGATGGCTCTGTGTAGACAATTCTAATTGGACTAAGGAGTTGACTGCATCAAAATGGAGCAGAGCTGCACAGACAAGATCTACACCAGTGGAGCCAGGTTCCAGAGCCCTGAGTCAAGGGTCAATAATTACAACATTAGTAAGATAAAGAACTCTTTCAGCTGAGCACCGCATAAGAGAATGTGCATGAAATAAGGCCTTCAGTGAGTTTACATTTGTGTAAGTGAATTGCAGAAATGTCAAGGGTGGGCTGGTGTGGTGGCTCACACCTTTAATCCCAGCACTTTGGGAGGCCAAGGCGGGCAGATCACTTGAGGTCAGGAGTTTGAGACCAGCCTGGCCAACACGGTGAAACCTCATCTCTACTAAAAATACAAAAATTAGCCAGGCGTGTTGCATGGTGGTGCATGCCCACCTACTTGGGAGCCTGAGACAGGAGAATCACTTGAACCCAGGAGGCAGAGTTTGCAGTGAGCCACGGTCATGCCACTGCATTCTAGCCTGGGTGACAGAACAAGACTCCATCTCAAAAAAAAAAAAAAAAAAAGTCAAGGGTGAGCAAGGAATTCTGCATGTGAACAAAGACAAAGAGGCTAGAATTCAAAGGCCTCCTTTTCTTGTTCCATAGTGCCTATAAAAGAGACATTTCCTACATTTCCAAGCAACTAGCCAGTGTTCCTTACCTGGAAGATAGAGCCCGTAATAGTTTCTGATTATGAACAGAAGGGGGAATATTCTCAAGATGCACCAGGTCATGAGGAGGGAGGCGGACAGGGAGGGAAACTGTGATTGTCCACAGTTCAGGGCAGCAGGAGATACTCAGTGGGCCCACATTGCCAGGTCTCTAAACAGAATTGCCTGCAAAAAGGTGGAATCTCTTATCTTAAAAAAAAAAAAATACTATAAGGGCATTTCACATGAGCCTCCTAAAGATGAAAGATAATCAAATTCATACCCCATGCTTCTGCAATCTTGTCTTTCTCTGCTTTCTCACCCACTTGTAGTTCCAAACTGTCCTATTCACACCTTCTGCCTGCCTCACCAAATTCAGGGGACCAAGACACAAAGTGGCTTCTTTGTGACCCCTGCCTCCAATCTGTAATGTGTAGGCTGATCTATTTCATCTGGCTTATTGCTTTTTTTTGTTTCGTTTTTCTGTTTTTTCTCTTTTATGCTTATTACCCAGATTCTCACCCATAAAGGTGAGTTCAGGAACTGACTCCACCAGAAAGACTCCTTGTAGTCCAATCTCTGTCTACCTCCTCTCTGATTTTAAGAGCCCTGGAATGTAGCTAAAGAAAGATAAATTTCTACTTAGAGGGCCACTGAGAGGAAAGCTTGAACAGCCAAATAAAAATGTTCCTTTGTAGAAAGGCTGGGAGAGGAGGAGAGGCTGGTAAGACTCAAAAGGTTTGATGGAGGTTGCCCTAGACCATGTACATGATGAAATAAACAGGCATTTGAGTAATTAATATTCTAAGCACCTTCCTAAATGAGGACAATTTTGTAGAATAAAGTGTTTTCCAAAAATTGGTGAATGATGTGGATTGCAAAGGATTTGCTTAAAATGGAAGATTCCTGGATGATCACATTTTTCTAGGGCGAAAAATGAAATCGATTCCTTGAATCAAAAATCTCCAATAGGGAGAGGATGTTAGAAGCTTTTGGAAGACCTCTTTGGGAGATTACAGTTTTAGACCTGATTCTTCTACCTGGATCCTGCCTCTCCTCATCACCAGCTATCAGCCCGTTTCCCAGGATTCTGGTGGTTAGAGGCGAAGAACATCAGCATGGTGCCCCTCTGTGGCCACCGCTGAGAGCCTGGGCAGGGGTCCTGGGAACTCAGGAGGAGGAATCTGGGGCTGGGACTCCATGAGAGCTCCAGTTCCCACTGTCACAGGCATTTGCCATGGAGGGACATTTGGTCCCCGGTCATCTCACCCTTTTAACAGGACAACAGTCAAATTTCTCATTTATTCTCAAAATTATTACAGAACTTGGGTTACCCTTTACTATTGTTGAAGGTGAAATGCTTAAAAATATGAGAGGGGGAGTGATGGAACCTCTCAAAAAAACCACACTGCAATAAATCATCAGCTAGGTGGAACTCGTCCAAGTGATATGAAGGAACTACAGAATGAAGTAGCTGGGCTACTGACAAAAATATGTAATTTATCATTTAAAGCAGCCGCTGAACTGGAAGACTGGAAGACTGCCAAGGTGATACCCATCTTTTTAATAGGACCAAAGGTGATCTCAGAAATTATACATCTGTGAGTTTCACATTGATGCTAAGAAAAATGTCTTTACAATTAAAGTGATCTCCCATCTAGCCTTGCACATCGTTTTTTGTCTTTTAAAAAAACCCACCTAAATTTTCATTAGGTCTAGAAAGTTGGCCTGGGTGCTGCCCACATGATCTTTCACAGGATCAGCTTCCATGCACATACCCAACAGAGGTCCAGATCCTCACAGGTGCAGGCAAACTATGGACACGCACATTTGTGCATTAAACCCTCCAACATGCGCAAAGCCCTGAACACAGTGTACCCCAGTGCAACACAAAGATAAAATTTGGGGTGCTAGGTATTGCTGTTGTTTTGTTGTGTGGTGGTTATGAATCACACACACAAACATTAAAAGATACACGAGCAATTATGTGAGCCTGCTCACATCTACCTTCCTTTTATTTTCCTTAGTTCTTATTTTTGCCATTATTAGGACTTCCTTCTTTTACCCTATATGAAGGACACAGAAATTTTATCTCAAGAACAAAAGACAGGATTATTGGGTCACAGGATCTAGGAATCTAGAGAAATTGCTGCCCCACAGAGTGTGGTGATCTGAAGGGAAAAAAGTCAAAACAAGAGGAAGGTGTTTTGACAGAGTTATGTGGAAAGAGGGAAATGGAAGCAGCCAAAATGATTTCTAGGATCATGGGGCAAGGAGCATTCTTCTGCAGCTTACTGTGAGTTTTACTCAGCCCAAACCTAACAAGGGGAGAGAATTCATATTTCTTGAGCATCAACTCTTGTCCCATTCATTCTTCTAAAGACTCAAGGCAGAAGGCATTATCTATAATTTAAAGATGCTATTTAAATTGAGGCTCCCAAATGCAGCGGCCAGTGCAGGACCACAACAAGCGACAGTTGGGGTTAGGACCGAGGCGCGTCTGACTCTGGGACCCCTGCCTTTTCTATTATTTCACCCTGCCTCCCCTGGGTACAATATAAGCAGAATCACAGTTTTTATAATGCTTTATGAATTTTCTGAGAGCTATAGCATCAGTGACAAAAAAAGATCTAATTTATTTAAACATTGAGAAGACTTAGGATACATTTTCAGTAGAATTGGTTAAGGAAACTGAGTCACACAGGCAAATCAGAAATTCTATTGTGGATTAAATGGACAGGGGAAATAACTCATTATTTTAAAATGACGCATTTTCGTCAGGAAAGATCATGAGTAAAGCGCCCCAAGAATGTCTAAGCAGAGTGTAGATGCTGCCTGTAATGATGACTAAGAAGACATACGGAATATTAAGTAACAATATTTGCTGATCACACATTTTTAGGATAAGTTCAGAAGAGAAAATATGATAAAAGTTTCCAAAGAACATGATGACAACCTAAGACCAAGCAACAACTTCACAGATAAATTTTTACGTAGATGAGTGCAAAACAACATAGACGTTGGATATATGTGTGTGAACATACACGTTGATTTTGTTTGATGGAACATTTAACAGTGCTGTCTCCATGATGAATTCCAAATTATCTATAAAGCTCCCAAAACAAAGATAGAGGCATCAGTTTTGAGAATTGGGTAAAAATATCTATTTCATGGCAGCAGCTCTAGGAGAGGAAAATGTGTATCTGCAATATGTAGAGTAATATTAGACCATATTAATTAAGAAGAGTAGCAAAAGGGTGCAATATGTGTGATATTCTCATGTACGGTTTTCTGAATCTGTTGTATGCTTACACTTTGATCCTATGTTTGCTTTTGTCGCTCATTTCACAAACGAAACAGCCGCAAGATAAAACAACAAATAAAACAGTCCAGAAATGTGTCATGAAATTTGCAAGAGCTGTGAAGGGGGAGTCACTCCTCCAAGAAGAGAAATAGGAGTGATGAATATAGAAACGGGGGCAAGGGAAAGGACACGTCGTGGGATGTGCTGTGGGAAATAAGGAATAGTGTTAAGAAAACAAGCTGATACCCTATTTTCTTTTCTTGGTAGCGAAGAAACACGAAGGCGCTCAGGGAAACCGAACGGCAGCGAGTCTGAAGAGAGAGAGGGAAATAGGCTCTGAACACAGTGTCTGTAATTCCATCGAGGTGTTTGGTTTCAGCTTGAGTCAAACCTTTGGGGGAGGTTTGAGAACAGGATTCCACACTGCTGTGAGTTCTAGCAGTTTATTGTCAAGGATAAAATTAACAGGGACGCTCAACTCGACTGCTTCAGGGCACACGCTGCTGATTACCAGCTGGGGATGGGGAGAAATTTCCCCCTGTAGTCCCGTGTTGCACATTTAGGTGTATGATGGGGGACTTGCGTCTTCTGGAGCATGCAGCACTGGCCATATTGGAGACAGGGTAGCAGACTCCCTGCTCCATTGGTCTGTTCTGGTATGGTAATTATTATGTCCGCACGCTGCTCATTTAGGTTTTACAAGTTTCTAATTCACAAGAGTGCTGCTAAACGCTAGAACATGGAGATACGGCTCTAATCCCTCTACTGCTGCAAAGTTCGCACAAATTGTAAAGAAAAGTCGGGTTTCCTAAAAAGGGTTTCCCCTTTGCCTCCTCTGAGCCACTAAACTGACTCATATGAAGCACGCTAGATGTCCTCAGCTGCCATTTTCTTTAATAAAGTTCAAATACCAAAAAAAGTGGTATTTAGCTATCTTCCAAAACAACAACAACAAGCAACAAAACAGAATTAGCTTTTGTGCTATGAAAACTCTCATGGCAGTTTCTCGAGTGAGCAAGAAACTGGGTTTGCATTTTGCATTTGGGGAGCTCTCTTTCCAATTTACAAAAGAATTCTGATTTACCAGGGATAGAGGTAAGGAAACTTAATATTATTTTCTTAGTTCTCTC